>NC_000002.12:102641133-102944163 GCF_000001405.40 Homo sapiens | reverse complement strand
ACTACTTTGTAATTAGCTTTCATCTACACGAGCTTTGACTAAAAAAATATAAAAGAGTGTAAGTGATTGTACTGCCACTCAGTATTCTGGGAAATAATCGCCAGCGATTTCAATCAGATTAATTTTATCACCCGTATTAAGGAAAATTACCTCCCTCTTCACTCTCTACAGCTGAGGGCTATTTCATTTCCTGAGATGTTCATAAAAGCATAATATAAAGCAATCTGTAATTGTAAATATCCTTCCCTAATAACTTTGAGATATTTCCTTAATACATCTTTACATTTGGAGTTTCCGTTCCATAAAATACAGTAACAAGTGCTCTATTATGTTTTAAGTGTATGCTGTTAAGCTGGACAACTTAGTGCTGTCCTTCCTGTTTTTACATAGGGTTATATTTAACTTGCAGATAATGGGAACAAGGTTTAAAAGTGATGGAGCGGAATAATGGCGTTACAGCAATAATATATCTTGCCTTTGTGAGGAATAGAACTTTACAGCCCTATTTCAGGTCAGCCAACACTGATGCCATTTTTCACAGCCTGACAACTTTCACCTTCACCCAAACTCCAAATGGGTTTTAAACACCCTTTCCAGCCAGGACACAGGCCTCTCGCTGCCTGTGTCCTTCCTCATGGACCCTTTCAGAGATTAACAAAAAAAGAGCAAAATAAATAAAATAAAATAAAATAAAATAAAATAAAAAAGTAAAATAAATAAAATAAAATAAAGTAAAATAAAATAAAATAAAGTAAAATAAAATAAAGGGTGGGAGAAAGACTATTATACTCTTGCAGTTGCAGATTCTTCTCTGGGCATCCAGAGATCCCCAAATGTTGCAATTCAAAGAATTGAGATCTTCCACGAAGAGTGAGTGATCACAGGAAAGGTTTCAATCCTAGCTGTGCAGGGGACTGGGACTTTTCTATTGGATTGTATTGCTTCTATCAGGCCTGGAGTGGAGTGGTTTTTCTGACATGGTTGCAGGCAGCCCTCTATGCCACGCTGAACACTGCACTGCAGCCCGTTGCCTCCCTGACAAGACGATTTATTAGATGGATCATTCCATCAGAGTTGTAACTGCAAGGTGGATTTTAGAAGTCCTCTGGATTCTGAGCTCAAAAGCATGTCAAAGCTGGGGACCCTGGGGAGTTTACTTGAAACCTCACTGATAATATTAAAATATAATTTGTATCCTGAGCTAACTATCCATAGTTTCATGCATAAAAAGTCTACCAGCATCTAATACCTGACATACCTAGACAATATGCAACTGCATGTATCTGTCCTGGTGAGCATAGGTCATTCAAATTTGATAAAGACCACGGCGGGTAGGCTGGTGAGGAGGGGAAGTTCCATCACTCAAGGCAGTGGACCTTGAATTGTTCTCATATAGTCAGGCCCCATAGGGAAATGAAGTGTTTAGGAGACTTTAATCTGCTCCCCTGCAGCAAACACAGTGGCTTTTGCCAGCTCGACTCAAAAGTGTTCTTCCTTGCTTAATATTCTTCCCGCCCTTCTGTCTCCTGGCAGGTTTGCACAGGTTTTGTTTTTGTTCTGTTTTGTTTTCCTGCAAAATAATGCAGTGTGGACCAAAACTTTGGGGTTCCAAATGGGAAAGGGTAAGAAAATAAAGTAAAATCATTTGTTCTTTTCTTGGCTTATCAATGCAAGAGTGGACACAATGGAGGTCTGTATTCCTATGTGAAACAACACCCAAACCAAAAGGTTAGAGTATCCATTTCCTGTATTGCTATTTTTCTGGAAAAGTGTTATGCTCCCATCAGTGACTGCTGATGTAGTCAATGCTTTGTAGTGCCAACTCAGATCTGGGACACCCAGTGACATCATGCTACCTCTGGGGACAGGCTGTCCAGGATGTCAGCAATGAGACAAAACAGACCCTGCAAATGAATAAGCCTCCTTCGTTGTATTTCCCTATTGTCTGGGTAGTCAAAAAATTTGGTTTAATGCATGTTCTTGCCCTTTATAGTGCGATGTTCGCATCATGATAGAATTGGTTTTAGAAAGTGAAGATGTCATTGGCAATTATGAAAGAGACTCCTGCTTGTGCATTTTCTAAGAAATCTAGCCCAGACTACTGGAAGGCTCACCATGATGCAGCATTCATTTGGAGCTATCAACAAGGCTACATCAAGTTAAGGTCTAGCATAAAATCTTAACCCTGAGCTGGGAAACCCCGGTTGGTAATATCCAAATTTACAAATTCTACCTTAATGCATATCTCCCAACATGTCAAATGTTAATGGATTATTACAGGTGAAGGAACTTAAGGCTAACAAATTAGAGACACAGAATGCATACGTAGAGAGGGGGAGGTGTGTGGAGGAAGATAGTAGCCTCACATTCTACAAATAGCTGCTTCAAAAAGAGTATTTCTCTTTTGAATAGCTCTCATCAGGCATTAGTGATTAAAGGAGTCTTCTGGAGGAATCTAAGTCCTCTGCTATTTTCTTTAAAGTTCTAGGGTGTAAGGAAAAGCCAGCAGGCATATAAATGGTGGTGACCGAGACATACATTCACACCAGTGAACCCACCTAATAAGCCGGTGTTCAAGATAGCCAAAGAAATGGAGCTCTGCTAGTACAACTTCCCATACTGTTCTGTTAAATGGGCTCACGTAGGAACCAAAGATCAACTGCTCTTTGAGATACACAATTAATATAAAGATTTTTCTTTCCCATTGTAAAAAAATTACCTTGAGAGAAAAAGTTTAATATCAAAATACTTCTAACCTATGAATTTTAAAATCTTACAAAGACAGTTTTGTTTAGAATTGTTACTTTTAAATAGCTTTGAAGAGTTATAGCAATTCATTTCATAATTTATTCCTCAAGCAGTGATTTTTATTGAACATTTACTATATGTCAAATGCTATTCTTTCTTTCACACTTAGCCACTATTACACAGGTAAGTAACCTGAGGAAGAGATGCAAGGCTGAAAACTATAAAATTCTTTGAAAAGTTTTTGCTTCACATTACTGGAAAATACTCCTTAGAGAGGATAGAGGTGAGGAAACTCAAATAAACCTGGCATATTTAAAATTTTCATGTTTTAAGAATGAATGTAACTAAAAAATACCTATGCTGATTTATTAATTTACATGAAAAAAGTCAAAAGTGTTTAATTCTCTTTTTATAGTAATACAGTACAGCAAAAGAGATCCAGCTTCATTAGCAGAGGTGTCCATACCCATGCGTCTGACCCTGAGTCACACTGCTGGCTCCCGTAGCTAGGAACCGAGCAGATTGCACTGGTCTGATGCCTTCTGTCTGAATTTAGCAAACAAAAGCAGGTCTGGCCAGAATGACAGCAAGACCTCATTTGGTTTATAGGCAAGAAACACTGACATCACTCTCTTCAGCCAGGAGCACTGTTAACATGCAGTAAAAGCAGAATGATGGCATTGAGACAATATTCACCTAAGCTGAAAAAGTCACAAATGAATGAAAGGACAAAGAGGACTATAAGGCAGCTGTAACTTCATGTTCCCTAGGTTGGATGGGTTCCCACAAACCCTCCCTTTATGCCCAGTGTCTCTGTGGAGAGATGCCAACCAAAACCCCAATATACTTGGTGGAGCCACAGGGATTCTCAGGATTAAGGAATACACACAGTTCCAATCTTGAGTGATGGGAAAATCACCAAACATTACCCTAACTTCAATTGGGATCAAGGTACAAACTACATCAAAATGAATGGTTTCAGAATCCTCTGCTTCTGTGGCTCAGGGATGCATGAATCGGCTCAGGCTGCTATAACAAAATACCCCTAACTGGGGAGCTCAAACAACAGAAATGTATATTCTCATAGTTCCGGGGGCCGCAAGCCCATGATCAAGATGCCAGCAGGGTTGGTGTCTGATGAGGGCTCTCCCCTTAGGTTGCAGACAGCAGCCTTCTCACTGGGTTTTGTTATGGCCTTTCTTCAATGTGTGTGCAGGAAGAATGGTCTCCCTGGTGTTTCTTCTTTAAAGGACACAGTCCTATGAGATCAGAGCCCCACCCCATCACCTCATTTAACCTTAATTATTTTCTTAGAGGCACTATCTCCAAATACAGCCATACTGGGAGTAAGAGCTTCAATGTAAGAATTTTTGGGGAAAATAAACATTCATTCCCCAATAAGAGAGTCTAAATGCCTCAAGTAAGATCACCACACAATGAGTGTCCTGATTCGCTTAGATGTCATCACAAAACATAAATGAAGACAATGAAATAGGCCTTGGTGAGTAAGTTTAACTGCATCACACAGTTGAAGAATTGCAGCTGCTTACGCCAACATTTGTTAGCATTTACTATGTGCCAGACGCTAGGAAAACAAAGATGAGTACAGCAGGATTCATGTCCTCAAAGAGTTTCCAATCTCTCTCTCTTATTCACTGCATGAATTCATTGTTCAGAAAAGAATTCGAGAGGACCCGCTGCAACCTGAAGTACAACCGTGTTTTGCTTTGTTTTGTTCTGTTTTTTGAAGACGGCTCCTCCTTTCCCCCAAGCTTTATCTGAACAAAACTCATTAAACTTTGACTGTTTTCTGGGAAGCCAATGTGAGCTGCCCAAGATCAACAACATTACTACCCTTTAGTCCTTTACCTACTACAGCAATCAGTAGGCTGCAATCAATCAGTCAATCTAGTAGTATTCACTGCTAGAGATAATTTTAGTCTATATGCAAATATCACAAATATATCAGGATACTATTATACCCAGCAAAACATCTCCCTGCTGAAAATTTTCCTGGTAGAACAATTATTGGTGATTTCGTCTTATGGGGATTTTGTTTGTTTATTTTATTGCTTGTTTGTTATTTGTTTTTGAGTATATCTTTTTGTTTCCCCTTTAATGGTTGCTCTAGCATTTAAAATATACATCTTTATGCTATCACAGTCTAACTTAAATCATATCAGTACTCATGTACTATAAGAACCTTATAACAGTATACTGCACTTCACACTTCACAACTTCAGTGCTATTATTGTCACATATTTACATATGTTAGACATCTCATAATACATTGTTATTACTTTTGTTTTAGGCAGTGAATTGTCTTTTAAATAACCACACAAATGAAAATATATATTTCCTATTTACCCCTGTATTTACCAACTTTGGCACTCTTCATTCCTTTGTGAAAATCCAAGTTTCCATCTGTTATTATTTTTCTTTAGCCTAAAGAACTTTCCTTAATATTACTGGTAGCACAGGTCTGCTGATGATGAATTATTTCAGCTTTTGATTATTTTTTAATTTCTATTTTATCTTTATTTTAAAGGCGATTTCACAGGATACTTTTAATAGGAAAAGTTAATGTTGACTTTTTTTCCTTCCAACATTAAAAAAAATTAATTGACATTTGCCTTGCAGTCTCTAAACAGAATAGGCAACAATTCTTATTTTTGTTTCCCTTTACATAATGTGAAGTTTTTTTTCTAGCAGACTTCAAGATTATGACTTTGTTATTGATTTTTAGCTACTTGATTATCATGAACTGCAGTGCTTATTCTACTTGGATGTGTTAAGTTTCTTGAATCAATGGATTTATAATTTTAATTCTATTTGGACATTTTTGTTATTATTTCTTCAATTATTTCATATCCCCTCCTCTCTCCTTTCCTCCTGAGACTTGAAGTATACATATTATAGGCCACTTATTATTATCCCACAGGTCTGCTCATTTTTTTTTCATTTGATTCTCTGCATTTTTGTTCAGATATTTTCTGTTGTCTTGCCCTCAAGTTTACTGACCTTTTCTTCTGTACTATCTAATCTGCTACTAATCCCATCCAGTTAATTTCTCATTCCAGATACTGTATTTTTTTTAGTTCTATGGTTTTATTTGCTTCCTTTTTATGGTTTCCATTTCTATCTCCATTATGTTCATGTTTTTCTTTTAAATAATTGAATATATTTATAACAACATTTTAAATTCCTTATCTACTAATTACATCATCTCTCTCATTCATGTATCTGTTTCTATTGACTTATTTTTCTCCAGGTTTCTTCTGTCTTCAAATGTCTGGTAATTTTTTCATGGATGCTGCATATTATGATTGTAACATTGTTGAATGCCTAGATTTTGTGCCCTTTGTATAAAGTGGTAGATTTTGTTCTGGCAGATAGTTAAGTTACTTGAAAATTATTTTTATCCTTTGGAAGCTTGTTTTTAAGCTATATTAGGATGAACCCACAGTAGCCTTTTGGGGTGCTAGTTTAGCCATGGTAATAAGGCCTTATCCTGCTGGTGTCTTCAGTGAATGTCCTACGTATGCAACAAAATTTCATCACTCCAGCTGAGTGGAATATAGGAAACTCCTCCTTTAATATCTCTCTCTCTCTCTCTCTCTCTCTCAATATCTCTGGATGTCTCTCCTCTGCTTTGTAAATTCCAGCCACATGAAACTACCTGAGCTACAATCATTTCCCAATGGCAAAAGCTTCTCCCCAAAAAACAAATTCTCCCAATTCCAAATCTTCCCAAGGAAGCACATTCTAATCCTTAGCAAGCCTCAAATACGATCTAATAATATAAAAAATAGTTTTAGGGCTCATTTGAACAAAATCAGAAAGAGATTATCTAAAGAATATTTGAATCCTGACATTTGAGTCCTGCTGAAAGATGAGGAATTAAACCATTGATCCAGGCTTACCCCTAAACTGGCTCTAGTAAATAAAAGAAAAGGAAAAATCAACAGAAAACCTGAAACCTTTTGACCTAAAGAAGAGTTAATAGCAGCTGGGGATGATGTTGTGCACCTGTAGTCCCAGCAACTCCAGAGGCTAAGGTGGAAAGATTGCTTGAGCCCAGGAGTCTTGGCCTGCAGGTAGCTATGATCGCACCACTGCACTCCAGCCTGGGTGACAGAGTGAGACTTTGTTTCTTAAAATAAATAAATAAGTCAATATGATGAAAAGCTTTTGTGATGAATACACATTAAAAGTTCTTGTTATAAAGGAAACAACAGTTCATTAGAGTGTTGAGCACAATTTCTTCTGATGTGTAGTAGTAAAAAAAAAAATACAAAAGCCCAGTACTGGGGGCTGATAACTCAAAATTCACAGAATGATTTTTTTGACCAAAACTCATTAATTTGTAGGGGTTAAATAAGACCAAATCCTTTTAAAATACAAGCACCCAATTTACTAATGATTTGTACCTATGCACAAATCAAATTAATTGCACTATTTCTGGAAAAATTACAAGTAGAGAGGGAAATTTCACATTCATCAAATCCATTTAAATCCATTTGGAACCCTTTTTGAGAGGCATTAAAAAGATTTAGCTGTTTAAGGAGTGAGCAAGGCTATTTGAACACAATTATTTAAAAGTATTAAAGCACGCTCTGGTTTCCCCTAAATTTAGTAGCATGATGCCTAGGACCTCTTATAACACTCTCTTATGCAGTGAAACTGTCCTATGTTTGACATTGGCCTCAGTTGTTTTATTTTAGCAAAGCTTCTGGCATTCGTAAGAGCCCAGACCACTTTTGTCTTCAAGAAATATATATTATTAAGTCTCTAATTAGAAAGGAATCAAGAAATAAGCTGTCAGCTGAAATTTATGATTACTTATAAAATGTTAAGGGCCACAATGGTTCATTTTTAAATGCTGGCTGCCACTAATATTTCCTTTCCTTTTGCTGCAATCACTTAACAAGAAAAAAAAAAGCATTTCTGAGCCACCAAAATTACATCTAAAAAAACTCACAGTAGTGATGCTCAATGAAGTACTTTGCAGGATGGAATCTAATCATTGAGATGGGATTAGGTTTTAGTCTTGCTTACAGAGACTGTTTTAAAGGCCCCTAATGACCCTATTTGGGGGAAAAATGCAACCATTTCCCCAAAGTTCACATGTCCTAGTTTAGTAGCATTAATAGACTTATATGGGTGAGGCTAGGAGTGGGCACAGTGGATGGGTGAAAGAGGTAAGAGATGCATTCTGTGCAGAGCAGGAGAGTTTAACAGCACTCCTGCCATTTTTTTTTTTTTTTTTTTTTGTTAATAGAAATCATGTGGTTATAGCCCCATTCACTCAGTGGACAAGTACAATACCCCGAATTGTCCTATTACAGCCTTCCATTAGGGAACAACTGCATCTCTCTTCTTTCTACATTAAACATGGGCTGCACTTTGTGAACAAAAACACTCAAGTATTGGACCAGTAACTTGGCTCCAGCTTCGACTTTGTTTACCCCTTGGTTCAGTGCATTTCTGCTCCATCACGAGGCTGACATGTGCAGGCAGCAGGCGGCAAGTCTGTGCATGCAGATCACCGCCCTTTCAGAAGGGGAGCTTCAAGATTCCCAATGGAATTCACCTTGCCAATTGTGGAGTCCCACCTGCTCGAAGCCATAGCCACTAACAGAAAGGTTTCCTGAGATGTGCAAATAAAGGGCCCGGGAAATTTTCTTTTTCAGATGTGTGCTGCGAAATGTATATCAATCTGAACGATTCATGTAAGCACGCCTAAGGCGAATTACAAAGCTGACTTTAGTGCTTTCTACTTTCTGCATCTATAGTCTTATTTTCAAGAACATTTTTCACTGACTATTAAAATATTGGCAGGACACAGTGGCTCACACCTGCAGTCCCAGCACTTTGGGAGACTGAGATAGGATTGCTTGAGCCCAGGAGCTCAAGACCAGCCTGGACAACATAGCAAGATCCTATCTCTACAAAAAAATAGAACAAATTTACCAGGTATGGTGGTGAACACTTGTCTCAGCTACTGAGGAGGCTGAGGTGGGAAGATTGCTTGAGCCCAGCAGGTCCAGGCTATAGTAAGGCAGTAAGCCATGATAGTGCCACTGCACCCCAACCTGGGTAACAGAGTCAGACCCTGTCTCTCGAAATACACACACAGACACACACAGACACACACACATATATATATACACACACACACCTTTCTGCTTAGCACTACATGGTCCCATGAAAAGACTGGGGAATTTTTTGTAATGCCAGAATGTCAGCATTCCCACGTCTAACAGATGCTTTACTCCCTCAACCACCCCACCTTTTAATGTGAAAAATGGTCCCAGTTTATCTTCTAGACTGTGTTCTGATCCCACTTCATCTATAGAGTAACAATTTCTAATAATATAACAACCTTAGTGACAACCTTGTTCTGTAGGCAACCAGACCACCTTCTAGTCATACTCACTTACTCTCTGCAGTGCTTCAAGCTGTTACCAATGTTTTCACATACCAAGCCTCCCTCATCTCACTGAATTTGTTGATCTTTGAAAGAAGTGTTTCCACTATCTGGATTGGGTCAGACATCATCTTGCTAGCAGGATCAGCCAAATGATATTAGCCTGCTCTTGCTTCCAGCATCTTCTATGCCATTGAACAGCTCACACCATGCCCCAGGCAGCAATGGCTCTCCGTCCCACTTTGGGATCTTGCATTCTTCACTGCCCCCTGAGCCTTTAAAGTTTCCACCTTCACCATCCCTAGTTCTACTTCTACTAAACTTAAAGGTTCATTCTTACATTTAAAGAATCATGGACTTTAAAGAATAGAAATAAATGTGAGGTAACCTCACCCAAATGAGGAAACTGAATAACATGTTGATGAACTGAGTTGCCCAAGGCCATGGCACTAGTCAGCGGCACAGCTGATGTCGGGAATTCTGTCCAAGGGTGATGCTTTCCCTATTTCAAGTCTGAGTATTGCCCGATGACTAGCTATTTGTGTTGATATGATAACCTAAGTGTTTCAAGACCATGCCAACCTGCTTTCCAAAACAAGCTTAAGGTTAATTTGCACAGCTCCTTTGTGATCTAACTGAAGGAGAGACAAGTAAAGAAGTTATAGACACCATGCCATTTCCCCTTCTTCTTGGCTGGCAGCCACTTCCATCAGGGCTACTACCACCTGCTAAAAGGAAACAAAAATGCACCACCAATTCTGTTGTTGAGCTGGGGAGGTTTTCTCCTTTAGAGACAATGCCATCATGAATTATTTATGTCTCCTACCCTCCAATTGGACCTTCAAGCCTTGTCTTCAACTCCCTTAACAAAGGGAACAATAATAAAAACAAGTTTCTTCATGAGGAATTTGGAAGAGCTAAGAGACCAAGACATGCAAGGATGGCTGGCAGAAAGAATTCACTCAGGGGAAACCCTTGACTCTGAGGAGTCCTGATCCACTGGGGCAGAGACTGTGGGAGTGGTGGCTGCAATATCAGAGGCATTTGAGAGACAGCCTTGGGTCACACTCAACTCATTTCTGCTCATCAACAGGTGGTTGTCTTGAAGGAGCACCCGTACATACATCTATGCCCCAAGGCAATGATCTACCTCCCTGTCCTTGGAGGTGTTCAGGCTTGGATATGTGAGAGAAAAGGCTTCTTGGACAGAGGCGGCACTCCATGAGTACAAATGCTCTGTGGTTTTGTGATGGGTTTTTCACAGTAATGATTTCGAGTATTGTTACTGACATTGAAAGCTGCCATATCAGTAACCATCCCCCATCACAACATCTGTACACACTTCGGATGTGTGTAATTTCTCATGCCAATTAAGGGGCTATTGTTTTTCCAATCTCTAGTTTGGAATCCATTTTTAACCTTATTTTTGTTTTTCTTCAGAAGTCAATGGCAGTCTTCTTTTGTAAGGATCAGCTGAGCACGTTATAGACCAAAAGAAAAAAAAAGAAAAACCATCAAAATATATGGTATTATCATTGTAGTTGTTTATTAACTTGGGAGAAAAGTGGGGAAACAATATACATATTGACAGGAAGTGATCCCTTTGAAAATTTAAGTATATTTGCTTTAAAAATACAAGTAATAAAACCACCCAAGATATCATGCCAAATGCCACCAACAACAAATTAAAAGCTTTATACCTTCACACTACAAATTTTAAAAGCCTCAATATTTAGGTGCAGGGAAACCATAGCTATGTAAATTTAAGACACAGACACCTGATCAGTACATACAAACATATATTTTTGTATCCACAGAAACTTATATGTGAAAAAGAAAATCACACATGCAAACGCATTGGCTGCTTCCAAAAACTTGGCCCTGAAAGTTGACTATATTTTGCCATCGGCAGATGTTGTTGTTGTTTTTATCATTGGAGACGATGGTATTTTTACACATTTCAGAAAGGATCGCTGAAATCACGAATGCTTTTTAAAACACGCTGAAAGTGATCTTTTACATTCAGGGTCCAAAACAAGGTGCACGTAGGAGCCGGCATTGTATCTTGGCACTTTAATGAGATGTCCTTTTTTCTTCTTCCCTAAACAAATGCAGAATGATGTGTGATTCCCTTTTCAAGCCAGGTCACCTTTAAGAGCCCAGGGATGGCCGTCACCACTGAATTGCTAGCCGGCCCTTGCCAGAGATGTCTGCCCGTGCAAAACCTGTGACAAAGGACTGAAATGACAGCTCTCTGACTCACTCCTACATTGTGTTTGTTTAGGAAGGCCCTAGAAATTGTATTTCACCAACCACATTCGCTATCAACACACAATTATCTGGCTTAATCATGTGGAACAGTGGCAAATTCACCTGGGGCTTAAGAACTAATGACATTCTCGTCTGAGCTGCTTTAGTGAAATGGCCTAGCACCTGAAGCAGGAACAGCGAGATTGCTCAAGAAAATTTGGTTTTCTGTTTTCATTTCACAGCATAGGGCCTCTGCTCAAATCAACAAACACTCCTGATTAAATAGCTGTGGTAGTCGACTTCTTCGCACTCGCGTGCGTGGCTCTGAATGTACATCGAGCACCCCAACCTTTACAGGAAAAGAATTGTCTGTGACTTGTTGGCGATGCATTGTCTTTTTGATGGGGGGAAGTAAGTAAATAAATTGGCATTGAATAATTTTGGTATGATCACAGTTATTAGTGTGGACGACCCCTCTTTGGCTGAAGACAAGTCTGAGACAGGAGCCCCCTCGATGCACTAATATGCTCAGGTATATATTTTCATTTCCTCTCTCCATCTGCGGTGAGGGCATTAAGATTCCGCTTACTCCTGAAAAATCCAGCCCCTTCCTCGGCCTTAAACCCCCAATGTGCAAGGGCTTTGTGGAGTCACTGCTGACTCTGCGGCTAAATCCCAAGGAGGGGAGAGGCCAATTTTCAAAAGCTGGCAGTGGCAAGAAATTGAGTGTTCAGACTTCCAAATGCTTCAAAGAGAGTGTCAGGTGCAGTGTTCTCCCTGAAAGGCTGCAGGAGAAATGGCCTTCATTTATCAGAATAATGATTTATTTTCATTAGTATGCAAAGGCCGAGCAGAATAGTGTACCAAATTTCTGGTATCTTTCTTGGTGTGCACACTACACCAAATGTCCTTGTATTTATTATTTTAAAAAATTTTTGTTTTATCCCTCTTGTTAGCAAGGACCATGGGGCTCAAAGCTGATAAGCAGAACTGCAGAATGTTTTAACTTTTCGCTAAGTTATTTGGTATTACTGCTAGCACTGATGCTGAGCTTCTCGTATCAGAGCTCCAAAGCCTGCTGTTTAGAGAACATTGGGAAGTCCTTAGGTTTCTTCTGTCAGCCCTGCCTCTAGCTCATCTGCCTCTCATCTCTTTCTGCCTCTCATCTCACCACTTCTGACTGTCCCTATCACTACCACTACCCTCCGCCCCCAATAAGTTTGCAGAAATACACAGACTGAGTTAAAAAGTACTCAGGGCAGAAGCAGTAATAAACCCAAAGCAGTAAGATTCAAAAAAATGAAACAATAAGAGAAACTCAGTAAAGGTTAAGAATTGGTAAAACTCTAAAAATCCATCATCAAACAGGCTTAAATATTACTCTTTTTTCTTTTTTAAAAAAAGAAGGGGCATTTTATGGGAAAGTGTTTTTGATACTCGACAAGCTAAAGGTGTGTGTGTGTGTGTGTGTGTTTTAGGTTGAGCTCCAAAATTAAACTACTTTATAATAAAATGCCTAATGGCACAAACAGTGGCACAGAAGGATCCAGAGTGGATACATTTGCTGCACTATTTCTCACCAGCCAAGTGAAATTCATGTGGCTCCTTGGTATAGAGACTCATGATATCACTGTTTCAATTGCTCTGAGACAAAGTGTAATCAGCCTTCATTGTGCAGTTTACATAAAGTTACCACGCACTAATCACAAACAGGGCATGGATACTGATCATTGATTGTAACAGGCAGCTCCCAACTTCGTCAGAAAAGGGGTCATGATATAGTCCGAATACAATAAATTATGAAAGATTTATCATAAGAAGTAGGCATTTACAGAAGAGATAAGAAGTAGTTTACATGTGAAGAATTGGAGCTCAGATAGGAAATATCATTAATTCAAAATCAGTTAGCTATGAGAAGCTTGTCTTCAACCTGCATCAGTACCTTTTCAAGTAATTATATGAAGTTTCCAAAGTGCAGAGCACCTACAAAAATCTAAAACCATATTCTTCCAAAATATTACATATCCGGAAGTCTCTCGTCTTGCTAGACAGTTCGATACTTTGTTGTATCTGCATCTGTTTTAGATCCAGTCTGCTCCCCAGAGTTTTTTCCCAATTGTCCTTTTACCCATCGATTCAAAATGTTGATGTATCTTTATTCATCACCCACTAAAGGAAAATATGGATTAACAAAACACATTCAGCCATTAAGTAGACCACAGTGTGGAGGTTGCAGGGGAACAGAAAAATAAAACTCCTAAGTTTTATAGTATGTACTGTTGCCTTATGATTATAGAGAGATATGCAAAGGCTTAATGAGCAGAAATGAAAAAGATTACTTTTTTCTATTCCAGAAGAAAATGCAGAAAATTTCCACAAGAACAAAAATAATATGATATCTAAACAGAGTCCTCAAAGAGTACTAAGAGTTTTGTTTTCATTTCTCTGAGAGAAAGGACAGGAAAAGTGCATTTCAAATGGAGAGTGAATAGCATTTCAGTGAAAAGCATTCATTCACTTATTCATTCATTTATTCACTCAATCATAATTGCTGTTGCTCTAGACACTGAAAATACAATACTGGAGGGAAATGATACGATCCATATTCTTGTGGACTGGAAGTCTACCAGGAAAGACATAAAATTATCAAATAATTACTTAGCTACAAATAGGGCTGAGTGGCACAAAGAGAAAGAGCAGGGGGTTATAAGGCCCAGGAACAGGGACACAGTTGCAAGCACAGCCAGGACTCTCAGAGCAAGTGAGCGTAAGCTCAGACCTGAGGGAGGAAAATGAGGAGGCACACACACACAGTGGTGAGCGTTCTAGGCAGAAGGGGGGAGGAACCTCCTGCTAAGAGCTGTTACTCTGATGCCTAAACAAGTTAAATCCTGACTGTGGCTGATGAGTTCAAACCTCTGCCCCAAAAAGGATAAAACCAAGTCAACAGCCCACTTTACAGAATTCTGCTTGACTCTTCTCTCACACCTCTTGCATGCATCCACTTCTAGCTGGGTGGAAAAAAAAGGAAAAAACCCAAATCTTATGATAAAATAATAAAAGCAATTCAGTGGAAAAAAAATCTCTTGAAAGGTCTGGTTTTCTTTGGCATTACCACACTATCTCTTTCCCTCTCCTACAAGGTCCTGCAGCCACAGTGATCTTCCCTACTGCCTCAGAGTGAAAAGTTTCCATCATCTCCCACAGCAAGCTGAATTATACATCCCATCTGACCATTCAGACCTACATGAAGTATTTATCTAAGAAAAACAAAATAAACACTTCATCTCTTTCTTCCCTAGATGTAAACCTTCTACTTTGCTCTATAATCCACAAATTTCCAAAATAATCTCATGATTTCTAATTAAGTATGATAAAGTAATACCCACATTAATTTATTATTAAAAAGGACACCATTACCATCTAACCTTAGCAGCCTATTTTAAGTTTTAAGAGGAAAATAGCATTCATGAGCTGTACACCAAGTAAAGACCATCAGGTAAATAGTGGGAATCATTTATAAATGGTACAAAGGGAGAGAATCAATTCTCAACGAGGTAGAAAAACTAGGGAATGAGAATGTACAGAAATCTAGACTCTACTCAGCTGCTGGCCAGCTGTGCAACCTGGTATAATCCTCTTAAGTTCTCTGGGTTTTGTTGGCCTCAGATTCTCCATTAAATGATGATGGGCCCTTGTTTTCCAATCTACTTGGGTAATGGAAAAACAAATGAGCTTCCATGGTTTAAAAAAATACTTTTCAAATTATGAAACTAAATACATCTAAACTTAGTATTCTGTCATTACAAACGAGGTCCCTTAGATCATCAAAAGATGATAAGAAAAAGCTTCAGCAGCCTAGTGGGAGCAAAGCTCCTCATGAGTAAAAAGAGATAGGCACAAAATATTGCACAGTGCTATGAACAAACCCACTGTTGGCTGATAAACCATTCTCTTCATGAATTCTCTGTGAGAGACCCAGTATGTATTCCAAAATAGCCTCTTCCCTTTTACCAAAAAATCCCTCTGCCACTTGCTACAAATTGTAAACACCGAACTGACAAAGTGTTTTTGGCAAAAGTTTCTAACCAGGAGATTATAAGAGTGCATTGCAATCTGTAAATAGTAATCAGTCTGGCATAGCTTAAAGGATGACATTTGAAGCTGGATTCATAGGCCTTGAATGCCATGGAAGGAATTCAGGCAATAATTTTGAGAAGGCTGTTAAAATTTGCCAGATGTTATCAACCAGGTTGCTTGTTAAGAAGAGCTGAGATGACCCACTGACTCTGTTCCTGGAGACTCTGATTTAGTAGATAGGGAAGAGATTCTAAAGATCTGGACATTTAACAAGCACCCCAGGTGATTTTTGCTATCAGGCAGGGTTGAGAAACACCACCATGGGCCTTGATGAGCCACTGGAGAGCTGTAAGCAGGAGATTGGCACCATCCATCTACACTAAAAGCCAATTTACAAATGCCGTCATCTGGAGAGCTTCAGACTTTAGGAGTCTGACTTCTTGGAATTGGCAAAGGAGCTGTTAAAAATCCCACTGCTCAGGCCAGAACACCCGAGGCCAATCACAACAGAACCTCTGGAGACAGGATCCAGGCACAGCATTTTTATTATTTTATTTTATTGGATTGTATTTTGGATTCAGCGGTACATGCGCAAGTTTGCTACATGGGTATAGTGGCTGATGCTAGAGTTTGGGCTTCAGGGAACACATCATCCAAATAGTGAACATAGTACCCATTGTTTTTCAACACTAGCCCCTCCCTTCCTCCTCCCTTTTGGAGTGCCCAACGTTTACTGTGTCCATCTTTCTGTCTATGCAAGCACAGTGTTTTTAAAGCCCTCCATGTGTTTTCAGTGTGCAGCCAGGTTTGAGAACTGAGAGCATACTGAGTATAGCTGCCTCTGACTCCTTACCAAACAGGATGGCTGTCCATCCTGGGGACCTGGGGTCAGATAAGGAATAGTCAAACCTCACTGGATTAGCTGTGTCGCTTGCTTTATTTTTCTTCATTGAATTTATCATTACCTAACACTTTAATACACTTTAGCAATACTCAAAACCCACACATATATACTCACAAAGGAAAATACACACACACAATCTCCCCTTCTAGAATGTGTGTTTCATTAGACCGGGGACTTTGGAATAGTAGTTCTTAGTAGATTGATCATGCATGTATATTACATATATAGTTTCAATTATCAGGAAAGGGGAGCAAATATCATTAGCCAGTGCAATCTTAACAAAGCTTATAGATTTTTCAAGACAAAAATAAAGAAGAAAGTAAGTATTAAGATTTTGTGGGCAATGGTAATGAAGAGAGAGATGTTATATGCAAAGGCAGAAACTGTCCAAAATACGAGCCTAATATTAGCAATAAAATGGGCATGTTGGTAATGAATTCACAATTCCTTAAAGGGAAAAATTCTCATGGATAGCCAATCATTATTATTTTTTATTACAAAGTCATTTAAATAATACAAAGATTTAACTACATCTAAACTCTATACTCACAACCTCCTGTACCTTTATTCAACTTGACTCAGGCACGAACAAAACCACCAATCGATAAACTTGCATTTAACAAATTAGTGTGACACAAGATATCTTGCAGAAACAAAAGTGCTAATTTCGCATTTATTTCTACACTTAGTTGTATTTGTGTTTTTATTTTTGAGTTGTCTCCTTTTTTAACTTTTTAAGCATAATGGAACATTATCTGAATCACTGTTGTTGAAATATTGGTATTTTCTGTTTGAACAATAAATTTGTATTTTCCTTAACTTTAACTATCAAATATATTTAATACTGCACCTCAAAATAAGATATTGACAAAATGTAAAATGGCAGTTTAGTCAAGCTCTTCAATGTGTAACAACTATGATATTAACAATAAATATAAATTGTTTTCTGCAGAGATTGGATGTCCTTCCACAGTGAGTGCTGCTAACCACAGCTTTCTTTGAGAGCAACATAAGAACCCAGGTTACCAAGGGCATGATAGTAGATAACATTTGTGTTTAGGTGTTTGTATTTATAGACAGATAAACATGAAAAAAGAGATGAAAGTACTATAAAAGGCCAATAGTAGTTATGTCCAAGTAGTGAGGTTATAGATCAATTGGATTTTGCTTTTGTTTTCAAAATAAATATGCATTAGTTGATTTATGAAAAGCTTTTTGTTTTACTGTATAGCCCATTATTAAGTGAGGGGTTTCAGAAAGTTGCATATGGTATGAACTAATTCTTTGAGGAAAATGATACAAATGGATTTCAATGTATTGATAAATATCTGTATGTGCATGTACTAAAAATTTAACTATAACTCTCCTTGGGTGATAAGATTACAGATGGGTTTTCTAAGTGCTCGTCTTTGTGCCTTTATGCATAGGGTAGGTACCTATGAATGTGGCTGCCAATGATTCCCACCAGCCAGGTGTCAGGCCTTGTGATCTGCCACCCTTGACAATGAGAAAGACACTGATTTGCTTCTAACAGAATACAGCAAATATGATGGAATGTCACTTTCAAGATTAGGTTTTAAAAAGACTTGCTTCCTTCTCAAGCTCTGTCATGCTCTTTCTTGGAACACTTGTCTTGGGGAAGCCAACTGCCATGTTGTGAGTCTGTGTGGTGAGGGACCAGGGGCGAGAGAACTTATAAACAAATTCACACTCTCCTTCCCATACCCCTCTCCAGTAGAGTCTTCAGATGAGACCACTGTCCCAGCTGTCAGCTTGGCTACAGCTTCAGGAGAGACCTTGAATAAGACATACCTAGCTAAGCTGTACCCAGATTCCTGACCTAAGAAACATTCAGGTAATAAATGTTATTCTTTGTAGACACTAAATTTGGGGGTAATTTGTTATGTGGCAATAGATAACTAGTTTTCTATATTAAAAAATTAACATAACTTTATAATCAGAGTTTTGGTTGATCAGTTGGTTTCCTCTTTCCTTGTTTTCTTCCTTCCTTTCTCCTTTTTTTTCCCCAGAATGATATGGCTGAGTAAGATTACTCAGTGGCTTTTGATAACACTGCATTCAAATGACTTGTCCTATTGTTCTGATTTCTATTGGACCCACGTTTTTCATTTTCTATGCTAAGCCATTGTTAGAATATACACTATTGCACTTATTAAATAGATGGACTATATAAAGAAGTCCCTTGTGCTCTGAAAACACTTCCTATGGACTGACATTGCCCCACTTTCCTCTTAAAGCTATCATTCAAATGGCTCTGATTTTTGCCTTGAGATACCTTGTCATAAAGATAGAGCAGCAATTTCTTACCAAGTAACACAATTAATGGATTAGGTTCACCTCAAAACACTAAATAATATGTCTGTTCCTTACTCTAGTCAGAGACACAAAAATTGGAATCTTAAAGATGAAGAGGAAATGATGGAAAACGAGAGGAGAACCATGTGATTAGACATCTAAATGGAGGTATGAAAGCATGTCCCATCATGAACAGCAGCAAGCGCCACTTCCCGCACAGAAGCTACTGTATACACAGCACTTATCACTGATCCCAGATTCCATATGACATGTCTGAATCAGGAATAATATGGTAATTTTCACAGTTACAGAGTGGAAAATCTTTATGGCGTAGCAGCAGAATGTGTCTTTATTTCACATTTTAAGAATCGTGCCACAGGATGGAAGTAAAAACATTTTGAATAGATGTAGGCGAGCTTCCGAATTCAGGCCTCAGAAGCTACACAGCTTTTTGATAGAAAATACTCTTCCTGTTCATCAGGGTTGCTAGCCTATGGTGAGCTTAATTAAAATCAATGGAGAAAAAAATTGAATACTGAGAAGCACTATTGGGGCTCATGAGATGTAAATGAGTCAAAATATGAAATACTCAAATAACCTTGGGTCATGGACTTAGTTTAGTGATCACCTTATTGATCTATTGAAAACCATCTCTCTTCTTTTGCTCTCTTGTGCTATCTCAGATGGAACTGGAAGTTGATAAAGCTTCCATTTTGGAGTGAGAATTCCTGCTTTTTTTAGCCCGTACTGTCCCCACCCTCCATCCACCTCCTGTGCTGTTTCTCTATTAGCAGTTTTTACACCATCTCTGTTGCTCTTTTATTCACACCTACATAGCAAAAAGAATATCAGCTGTCTAGAGGAAAAGCTTGTGTCTGCTAGTGGCCTGGAACAGAACATGCCTCTTGATTTCAAATATGAGAGAAACATACATTTCTTCCTTTTATCTCATTTGAGCACAACAATATTATATTTTATGCACGTGTAACTAGAGGTCAGAAAGGAGTAAACTGAACCCCAAGTGCACTCAATTCAATGTGATCAATATTCCTTTATTTTAAAGGCATTCATAAAATAGCAAATGCGCAATTTATGAAAACAGCCAAATTATTCACCCCTCCCTCTAACCATGCCTTTTGGCATGTCACTTTGAATTTTGTCCTACAAAAGCAGAGTATATTCTTCTACCCCGTCTATTTTGTTTGGACCAATAGAGTAGAGAGGAAGTGGCAGTTCCAGGCCAAGACCTTAGAAGCCTACAGGTTTCTCACTCTTACAACTCTGCCATCAATGGGGACACACTCAGACTGGGCTGCTGGAGAAACACAGACACGTGGAGCACAGCTAACCTGCCCTATTTGTCTAAGTGGAAGCCATCGTCGATCATGCAACAGCTGATCCCCAGACCCCAAGCCCAACCAAGAACTGCAGAACCATTTACCCAACCCCCAGCTGACCCCAGATGGAACTGTGGGAGTTGATAAAGCTTCCAGTTTTATATATGTCTAATCACATGGTTCTCCTCCTGTTTTCCATCATTTCCTGTTCATCTTTAAGGTTCCAGTTTTTGTGTCTCTGCCTGGAGTAAGGAACAGATATATTATTTAGTGTTTTGAGGTGAACCTAATTCATTAATTGTGTTACTTGGTAAGAAATTGCATATATTGCATATAAACAATAAATGTTTTTTGTTGAATGCCATTGAAGGTATTGTGGTTTGTTACACAGTATTATAACGGCACTAGATAACTGATAAAGCAGTTTCAGTGTCTATCCTCGTTAAAAATAAGACCTATTGTGGAGTGTAATTTGGGATGTAAATTAGAGTATAAGCATTGCAAGGGCATGTGTGCGTGTGTATGAAATAGAGAGAAAGTGCACAGTCAATGTTTTTGCATGTGAATGACTAAAACCACATTTATTTCTTCAGTCTCAAAATGACACTGGATAACTCACCCAAAGAACACTCATTCATTCACTCACTCACTTCATTATCCATTACCTAGCTAACAACATACTAGATATCAGGGATATAAAGGCAAATAGGCTGTGATCACTGCTCTTGAAGAATCTTTTGTATACTTGACGATACATTAGAAAATACACTATGATGGAATGACGGCTCTACCTTCTCTCTCTTACAAATTATAAACATGAGCCAATGTTTCACTACAGCTAATAGTTACTAGAGGTTGTAAGTACTACCTTCTTTTTAATTGTCTATTAAAAATTTGTCTAAGCTTTTCTTTTAAAAAGTCAATTTGTTTATTCCTCAGTCCATAATGTTACACCTCAAGGTAAGACTCCCTTTCAAATCTGAAACTCTTGACATTGGCAGTATAGAAAAATAAAGTACATGTCGCACAGTGGGTGCCAGAGACCTATATTATGTCCTACTGTTGGTTACAGAATTTTCAATATTTCTTTATCCTTTTCACTCATATGAACTGCAGCTTATAGCAGTGGTAATCATTTCCTGTGTTTGAAAAAGAGATGAAAGCATTCATGGATGAAAGCAAGTTGGATTTAATCTCCTTCTCTCTCATCCAGTGCACTGTACTGATCATTTTCCAAAAAAACACGACTTAAGCTCATTTTTGTCATGACAAAACTAGTTTCATAATAATCAGATGGCAATTCCTAGTGTACACAATTCTAATATAATTACCAGGAGGAAATGTAGAGGGAGTTGCAGGTTTGAGATAAAGAAAAGCCTGTGAATTTTGTATTAATGTCTCAGACTCTCTTATTTGTGGAAGTAATCAATCTTTCAGGGAGTAGAATAGTAATTCTTTGTGAAAAAAAATGACAAGAGTCAGAGGAAGAAAGAAGATAATCTAAGTTCCATTCGGTACACAGCAGGTCAGCTGTGATTGACAAAGCTCATCACAAAACTATAGCTCACGGAGTAATCCCAGTAGCAGAGTCTCATTTGCAGCCGAAGCAGTGTTAATGACATGTTTAACAGCTGCTTCTTGAAGTTTGGAATCTGCATTAACCCGCAGAGCAGTGAACAGAGAAATGAGGGAAAGTATTGAAATCAAGCCTTCATTATTCTGACAGCCCAGGTGAAAGGGTGCCCAGAGGTTGTGGAGAGGTGGATAGGAGGGTCTGGAAGGTGGAGGGTTCAATTGCATGTAAGGACCATCTTGGAGATGACAGGGTCTGATCAATAAACAGAGGACTACAAAACAAACTGACGTGTTCAACTCAGAGACAATGAGACAAGGAAGTCAGGCAACCAGAATGGAACCATAACTTGGACACCAAATGTTATGCAGGCATTACAGTCGCTAAAGATCAACTCAATATTAATGCAGCAGTGGAGTTTGTTCCATGGAGAAGACCAAGTGATGCCATGGCTTTAGGCTTCTTTACCCCCAGAAATCTTATTTTTTCATCCCAGCTCAAAAAGCAAAGGGGCATATGTAACACAGTGTATTTTCTAGACTACTTATAATAGTCTATGTTGAATTCACTTAAATTAACTACCCAACAGAGTTTCTTTAAATGCAACTCTTTATAATGGTCCCTTTTTTTTTCCATGGAAGTATATCTCTGGCTTTTCCATTGGCTGAGGGCATCGGTTGCTGAGGGAGAAGAATGAGAACACAAAGGAGTTGTCAGGGGATTTGGGGCAAATCCTAACTTCTTCACACTTTTTAAAAGTAGCCTTAGGCAGCTTGTGCAAATGCCTTGAGCTTCAGTGTCCTTATCTGTAAAAAGAGTAATAACACCCACTTTATAGGGTTGTCGTAAAGAATAAAGTAAAATATGTAAATCCCCCAGCACAAGTACACGCTTCATAAAACATCGGCATTATTTACTAGAGATGGCCACCATCAGTGGGTAAGTGTAGCGGATCTGCCAAAAGTACTTCATTGATATAAATTGGTATAAAAATCTCACAAAAACCTGACTTTGGGTAGAATTTTAGCTGCATGTTACCAATGCATTTTTTTTTCTACTTTGTTCACGGAGCTGTGTCAGATACCTAAAAACCATGGCTGGCACAGGATAGGCATTCAGAAAATATTGTGGGTGAGTATACCTGCTGTAGGAATCTGAAGAGTCTTTTTCTGTACTGTATTTTGCTTCTATGGAGGCCTTTCTTCATTAAGAAGAAGAATGCTGGAACTCCTGAATTATAGGATCTTGGAGCTCATTTCATCAACCCTTTCATTCTGCACATGAAGAACTAAGGCCAAGGGAGAGTTTGACTTGCTTTAGGCAAAGCAAACCATGAATGAAGGTTTCACAATCTTATGGTATTTCATAAGTCATAATGTGTTCCAGCCCTTCTCTTCCCTTAACACAGACACTAGGCAATGAATTTCCATGGCAGTTTCAGTCATTGAACGGGCCTGCTCACAAGGTATTCTTTCTTTAGCTTCAAGTTATTTTACCCTTCAGATCCTCTAGGTTCTCCTATGTCAAATGAGAAGGTTGGAGAAGAAACTTTTGTTTTGCGCTGTTTTCTGTAAAACTTGGTGGTTTGGGGGAAGTCCTACACAGGAACGCTGTAAACTCACTTTCCATCCTTGGATTCCCATTTAAAATAGAGCACTTCTTTTAAAAACATTATATATACCAGATTCTACATAAGATTTATTTAGGATTAGAAACAGTTTCTTCAGTTAAATGACAACTGACTAGATGATCTCTGGGATACCTTCCCTCCTGTCTATTATGAGGGTGGAAAAAGTGAGGCCAACCCACTGGGAACTCATTTATTTTTATTACAACATTCACCAACTTTTCCTTCCCAAAGGATAAGGGGCCCAACAAAGCAAGAAGGAGGGAGAAGGGAGAGGGGGAGAAAGAGGACAAGAAGGAAGAACAAGAAAGCCGCCACTAGTAAGAGGAAGAAAGCAAAAAATTCACTAACAACCTTCAAATTCTTTTGGTCTGTGTATTTCTGTACCCATCATCTTAATCTTCCCAAAAGTTCTATAATACAAGTAGCAAAGGCATTATTTCCATTTGCCTGGGAGAAACCGAAATACTCGAGGCTAAATTAATGTCCAGGGCTCTGTGTGCCATCAGTGCTGGAAGTATGGGAATAGAATGCCCATCTTGAATTCTTTCTACATTGTACACTGATTAAAGCAAGATAACATCATGTCATTTGGGCTGCTTCCTTAAGGCCAATGTGTCTTATGTTTGGAAAACAAGAGTGGTCCAATGGCTTACACCTTTGAGGTCTCAGAATACAGACAAACATCTCTCTTTCCACACAGATCATGCCATGTGTCTGAAATAGCCAAACCCTTCACAGAACTCTGTCATTGCCACAAACACTGCACGCATTTTTCTACTTTGCAGCTAGGTAGCAAGTTATCTGTTTCAGATCAATTACCTGGCCATGAGGCCAATAAACAGTTAATGTGAGGTCAGGCACAGTGGCTCACGCCTGTAATCCCAGCACTTTGGGAGGCCGAGGCAGGAGGATCACCTGAGATCACGAGTTCAAATCAGCCTGGCCAACATGGTGAAATCTTGTCTGTACTAAAAATACAAAAATCAGCCAGGCATGGTGGCAGCCACCTGTAATCCCAGCTACTTGGGAGGCTGAGGCAGGAGAATCACTTGAACCCAGGAGATGGAGGTTGCAGTGAGCTGAGTCGTGCCATTGTACTCCAGCCTGGGCAAAAAGAGCAAAACTCCATTTCAAAACAAACAGAAAAACAAACAACATTTAACATAGCAGAGGTATTATACTCAATTTCATTTCCTTCATCTGGTGCAAATGAAGATAATTGGATATTATTGAAATTCTGAGGTGTGTCAGGTGTTTAGAGCATGGACCCCATATCTCTGGTTTTGTGACATTCTGGGATTTCCCCCCTCACACCTACCCCCACAACTCTCGGCCCACCCACAGAACCTCAAAGCCTTTGTGAAATTCTTCAAATGTTTTCAAATGCAAATGGTTTTAATTTACTTTTTGCATACATCTACATATATGTTGGTGTAAAAATAAATATTCATTTTATAAATATACCTACCTATGTGTTTTTAAATATACATATGGAGGTCACATGCCTTAGTTCTTTCTAAAATCCTAATTCAGACAGCCACTTTGGAGACATAGTGGGGAAGTTTTGGGGTCTCTCTTGCTTCCTTCTGCTCTAATACAGTGCTTCCCCATTAATTATGGTTTGCCCCAGCACCTCCCATGCTCAGACTTAAAGTGTGATGCCTTCCTTCTCCCCCACTTGGTATTAATAATAATGATAATACCTACAGGTTATTCAGCACTTGCTATATGTGAGGTACCACATTGGTTGTTTTATAAACATTATCTCTTATGATCTTCCCAATAGTGAGAATTTCTCCTATTATCTGTCTTTTATAAAAAGAAACTAGTTTAGGGGTTAAATAAAAGTCTAAGGACACATAAATACTAAGAGAAATGATTTGTATTCAAATCTAGGACTAGTTTTCCCTAAAATCTACAATATTAACCATTAAATTGTGTGCCCTGGGTCCCACTTTCTAAGGTGTTCCTATGTATGAATGTGATCTTCATTCCACGAATCTTTGCTGAATGTCTCCTCTGTGCCAGGCATCCTTCTAACATGTCAGATACCACAGTGGGTGAAACTGACAAAAGTGCCTGTGTTCAGGGAGCTCACACTCTAGTGATGAACACAATAACCACAAAAGAAGAAGAGGAGTAATCTGACACCGTTCTTATTTCACAAATGATTGTGGTCGAGACGATTACAAAGCAGGGGAGACTTGCCTTTTATTGTAGCCCCCCTGGAAGCCTCATGCTTGGTTAAAGAGAATGGCTTATAAAGAAGAGCAGGGTCGAAGTGGATGGTAGGGACATGGGGGTGTGTAAGGCACATTGGCAGTTAGGCTCTGGGTTTCCAAGGGAGCTCACCAAATCATACTTGCCAGCAATCAGCTTCTTACACAATTCTTGCCAAAAATAATGGCCCTACTTCAAAACTATGAAAATCACTCTTTTTAAGGGATAATTCACCATCAGATGAGAATTTGATAGCATATTAGAGTGCATAGGCTGGTTTAGGATACAGATTACATAAATGGGGTATTTGATGGGCACTGTGAAAGCGTATGTGAATGATGTGATTTGGCTCCGTGTCCCCACCCAAATCTCAACTTGAGTTGTAATCCCCATGTGTCAAGGAAGAGACTTGGTCGGAGGTGGCTGGATCATGGGGGTGGTTTCCCCCATGCTGTTCTCATGATAGGGAGTTCTCATGAGATCTGATATTTTTATAAGCGTTTGGCAGTTCTTCCTTCCTCTCTCTCCCTCCTGCCATCTTGTGAAGAAGGTGTTTGCTTCCCTTTTGCCTTCCACCATAATTGTAAGTTTTCTGAGGCCTCCCCAGTCAAGTGGAACTGTGAGTCAATTAAATGTCTTTCCTTTATAAATTACCCAGTCTCTGGTATTCTTTATAGTGGTGAAAATGGACTAATACAGTAAATTGGTACCAGTAGAGTGGGGTGGTGCTATAAAGAGAACCTGAAAATGTGGAAGCCACATTGGAACTGGGTAATGGACAGAGACTGGAAAAGTTTGGAGGGCTCAGAAGAAGACAGAAAGATGCAGAAAAATTTGGATCTTCCTAGAGACTTGTTGAATGGTTTTGACCAAAATGCTGATAGTAATATGGACAATGAAGTCCAGGATGAGATGGTCTCAGATGGAGATGAGGAAATTTTTGGGAACTGGAGCAAAGTTCACTCTTGCTATGTTTTAGCAAAGAAGCTGGCAGCATTTTCCCCCTGCCCTAGAGATCTTTGGAACTTTGAACTTGAAAGAGATTATCTAAAATTTGAACTTATATTTAAAAGGGAAGCAAAATATAAAAGTTTGTAAAATTTGCAGCCTAACGATGTGACAGAAAAGAAAGATCCATTTTCTGAAAAGAAATTCAAGCTGGCTGAAGAAATTTGCATAAGTAATGAGGAGTCAAATGTTAATCACCAAGACAATGGGGAACATGTCCTCAGAGCATGTCAGAGGTCTTCACAGCCCCTCTCATGACAGGCCCAGAGCCCTAGGAGGGAAAAATGATTTTGTGGACCGGTCCCAGAGCCCCACTGTTTTGTGCAGCCTCAGGACTTGGTGCCCTGCATCCCAGCCTTTCCAGCTCCAGCCATGGCTAAAAGAGGCCAAGGCATAGCTCGGGCCATGGCTTCAGAGAGTGCAAACCCCAAATCTTGACAGTTTCCATATGGTTTTGGGCCTGTGGGTGCACAGAAGACAAGAGTTGAGTTTTGGGAAGATCCAGCTAGGTTTCAGAGGATGCAAGGAAACACCTAGATGTCTGGGCAGAAGTCTGCTGCAGGGGTGGAGCCCCCATGGAGAACCTCTGCTAGGGCAGTGCAGAAGGGAAATGTGGGGTTGGAGCTGTCACACAGAGTCCCCACTGGATTACTGCCTAGTGGAGCTATAAGAAGAGGGTCACCATCCTCCAAACTCCAGAATGATAGATCCACCAACAGCTGGCACTGTGTGCCTGGAAATGCCACAGGCACTCAATGCCAGCCAGGGAAAACAGCTGTGGGGGCTATACCCTTCAGAGCCACAGGGGCAGAACTGCCCAAGGCCTTAGGAGCCCATCTCTTGTATCAGTGTGACCTACATGTGAGACATGGCATCAAAGGAGATCATTTCAGAGCTTTAAGATTTAATGACTGTCCCACTGGATTTTGGATTTGCATGGGACCTGTAGCCCCTTTGCTTCATCCAACTTCCTCCATTTGGAATGTCAGCATTTACCAAATGCCTGTACCTCCATTGTATCTTGAAAGTAGCTAACTTGCTTTTGATTTTACAGGCTCATAGGAGGAAGGAAGTTCCCTTGTCTCAAATAAAACTTTGGACTGTGAACATTTGAGTTAATGCTGAAATTAGTTAAGACTTTGGGGGATTGTTGAGAAGGCAAGATTGGTTTTGAAATGCAAAAAGGACATGAGATTTGAGAGGGGCCAGAAAGAGAATCATATGGTTTGGCCCTGCGTCCCCACCCAAATCTCATCTCAAATTGTAATCCCCATTCATCAAGGAAGGGATCTGGTGGGAGGTGACTGGATCATGGTTATGGTTTCCCCCATGCTGTTCTCATGATAGGGAATTCTCATGAGATCTGATGTATTTTATGAGTGTTTGGCAGCTCCTCCTTTCTCCCTTTCTCTCCTGCTGCCTTGTGAAGAAGGTGCTGGTTTCCCCTTTGCCTTCCACCATGATTGTAAGTTTCCTGAGGCCTACCCAGCCATGTGAAACTGTGAGTCAATTAAACCACTTTCCTTTATAAATTACTCAGTCTCGGGTATTTTTTATAGCAGTGTGAACGCAGACAAATACAGTGAGAAAAATGCAGAGGACACTAAGGTGAAATGCCAGTTACCACTGAGACCTGGGCAGAAGACCATAGAGATCTGGTAACCTGTGGGGTTCCTCCCAAGGGCATGCAGAAGATGTGGTAACTGAATAGGTTAAGAAAGCACATGAGACTTCTGTATTTGAGACACATTAGTAGTGTAGATACAACCCAAGCTCTTCTACATGTCCCATTCCTTTAATTACCAATAGACTTAAAAAGCTGATTTGTTAAAAGTTTGATGCTTTGATATGTATTTTAACATAAAAAAGTTGCTTTGAAAGAAGTGTTATTTTATTTAACCTAGGGAGTTATTTCCAAAATGTAGTTATGAGGGTCTACCAGGAAGTAAAAATATTCAGAGGATGGGCACAGGACATGCACACATAAAATCATACTTAATATTTTTTAATGAGGGTTCAAAGTAGGATAATACTATTTTTTAATCACATAAATATTTTCTCATAAAATGGGACAAAAATAAACTTCACATTTTGACCTCATTTTCGTTAAAATTCATATCTTTGGTACTATCTTTACAGTTACAAAATAAAACTCATCATGAGATATTAGTAAAAAAAAAAAAAAAAAAAGAAAAAGAAAAGTCGAGGAAGAGCTATTAACAAAATAATGTCCAGCTCTCTGCCTTCCAGGCATATCATAGGATTTCTCTTTCCTGCCTACTGTGAAGTAAGCCATGACTCTGCGGTATGATTCAGCACATTCCCATCCCTATGCTGTAATAATCCTGGGAGGAAATATGGAGGAGTCACCTGGGTCCTACTGACTCCAAAAAGCTCAGCCCCTAGCTGACTCACAATGCATATGCTGTGTAAGTGAAATATCATCTTTTGTTGGATTAAGGCACAAGAAATGTGAGGGCTATTTGTTACTGTAGCACATTTTGATGGTTAATACTGAGTGTCAACTTGATTGGATTGAAGGATACAAAGTATTGCTCCTGGGTGTGTCTGTGAGGGTGTTTCCAAAAGAGATTAACAATTGAGTCAGTGGGCTGGGGAAGGTAGATTCACTGTTAATCTGGTGGGCACAATTTAATCAGCTGCCAGCAAATATGAAGTAGGCAGAAAAATGTGAAAATGAGAGACTGGCCTAGCCTCCCAGCCTATATCTTTCTCCCATCCTGGATGCTTCCTGCCCTCAAACATCAGACATTCTTCAGTTTTTGGACTCGGACTGGTTCTCCTTGCTCCTCAGCTTGCAGATAGCCTATTGCGGGACCTTGTGATCATGTAAGTTAATACTTAATAAACTCCCCTTTATATATAATACTTAATCCTTAATAAACTCCTCTATATATTTATATATCTTATATCATATATATGGTATCTATATTATATATAGATATATATATAATTTATATAATATATAGATATATAATAATATATATGATATTAGTTCTGTTTCTCTAGAGAACCTCGACTAATACAGATTTTGGTACCCGGAGTGGTTTTAGAGAAATGGAATATTAAAGATGGAGTTCTTTCATTGGTTTCAGGGTTTCTGGAGTTTGCCACTTAATATTATTAGACCTAAAAATGCTAAGGACTCTACTTGTAATAGTATGGAGAACACTGATAGTCCTTGGTATGAAGTGTTTAGAGAGTTACGCAAAATAAATGTATTTGACACTCCTGATTCCTGCTTGTGAGAGTCAAGGAGTTTAGTGACACTTTACATAATACCTTCAGCCATATGTGGAGAACTGAGGAACATAATGAAGCTGGTTGGTTGCTCCTAAGTTCAGGGGACAAAGTGTTGAAAGCAAATGATGAACTCAGAGATTCTGTCTCCTGGCTTCAGAAGCAGATACTGAGCCTCAAATCTGCTAAGATTGCCCTGAGTGAAAGTCTTATCTCCTATAGAGAAAGAGACGAAATTGTGCAAAAACAAACACAAGCTCTTATCATGCGAGTGGCTGACCTGCAATGAAAGATGCATCCACAGCCTCACCAGGTGTCTACTGTTAAAGTGAGGGCATTGATTGGAAAAGAATGGGACACTGCAACTTGCAATTGGGACATGTGGGAGGACCCTGATGAAGCTGGGGACGCTGAGTTTGTAAACTCTGATGGACCTTTTTTGCCAAAAGGAACAGCTTCCCCAACCCCAGTAGTGACAACATCCTCTCCCTGACCCATGCTGACATCAGCCTTTTCACCTTTGTCTGAGGAGATAAACCCTGGGCTGCCTGAGGCAATAGTGATGGCCTTTCCTGAGGCAGTTGTCAGGCATGATAATGTTGATTCTCCTCAGAAGCCACCCCCGACACCTCTGTTTGCTTCTAGACCCATAACTAGACTAAAGTCCCCGAGGGCCCCTAGAGGTAAGGTTGAGAGTGTGACCCATGAAGAGGTGCACTACGCTTGAAAAGAACTGTTTGAGCTCTCAAATTTATATAAACAAAAATCGGGAGAACAGGCATGGGAATGGATATTAAGGGTATGGGATAATGGTGGAAGGAACATAGAGTTGGATCAGTCTGAATTTATTGATTTGGGCTCACTAAGTAGGACCCTGTTTTTAATGTTTCAGCTCGGGGAGTTAAGAAAGGTTCTAATAGTTTATTTGCCTGGTTAGCTGAAATGTGGATTAAAAGATGGTCCACTGTGAGTGAGCTGGAAATGCCTGATCTCCCTTGGTTTAATGTAGAGGAAGGTATCCAAAGGCTTAGGGAGATTGGAACTGTGGGATGAATTAGTCACTTTAGACTTCCTCATCCCAGCTGGGAGGGTCCGAAGATATATCCTTGACCAATGACTTGCAAAATAGATTTGTGAGGACAGCACCTGCATCTTTGAAGAGCCTTGTAATTGTTCCTCTTTGTATGTCAGATCTAACGGAGTGAACTGCAGTCACTCAACTACAAAATTGAAATATAGTGGGGATAATTGGATGCTGAGGTGGCAGGGGCCAAGTGGTGGCAATCAACTATCAAAGGCAAGCTAGGCGTAACTACTGTAATGGACAGCAGAGGCAAAGCGGCAATCAGAATAGTCTGACTTGTGTAGAGCTCTGGAATTGGCTAATTAATCACGGTGTTCCTAGAAGTGAAATTGATAGGAACCCCACTGCATTCCTACTTAATTTATACAAGCAGAAAGCTTCTAGGTCGAATTATAAAAACAGAGAATCACAGCCCCTCGAACAATTTCCAGACTTAAGCCAGTTTACAGACCCAGAACCCCTTGAATGAATGGGAGGCTGCGTCTCATTAAAGAAGGACCCCACTACATTACCAACAATTTATGCAGTTAATCTTTCTCCCATCCTTCCCCAAGAAGATCTCCAGCCATTTATCAGGGTAACTGTGCATTGGGGAATGTGAAATGATCAGACATTTTGGATACTACTGTATACTGGATCTGAGGTGACATTGATTCCAGGGGACCCAAAATGTCATTGTGGCCCTCCAGTTATTAAAGTAGGGGATTATGGAGGTCAGGCAATAGAGTTTTAGCTCAGGACCAACTTACAGTGGGTCCAGTGGGTCCCCAGACTCATCCTGTGGTCATTTCCCCAGTGCCAGGATGCATAATTTGCATAGACATACTTAGCAGCTGGCAGGACCCCACATCAGCTCCCTGACTGGTAGGGTGAGGGCTACTATGGTGGGAAAGGCCAAATGGAAGCCATTAGAGCTGCCTTTACCTACAAAATAGTAAATCAAAACAAATAAAAAACAATATGGCATCCCTGGAAGGATTGCAGAGATTAGCACTACCATTAAGGACTTGAAAGATGCAGGGGTGATGATTCTCATCACATCTCCATTCACCTCTCACATTTGGCCTGTGCAGAAGACAGATGCATCTTGAGGAATTACAGTGGATTATTCTAAGCTTAACCAAGTGGTGACTCCAATTGCAGCTGCTGTACCAGATGTGGTTTCATTGCTTAAGCAAATAAATACATCTGCTGGTACCTTGCATGCAGCCATTGACTTGGCAAGTTCCTTTTTCTCCACTCCTGTCCATAAGGTCCACCAGAAGCAACTTGCCTTCAGCTGGCAAGGTCAGCAATATACCTTTGCTGTCCTACCTCAGGGGTATATCAACTCTTCAGCTTTGTGTCAAAATCTTATTTGGAGAGATCTTCATCACTTTTCACTTCCACAAGATATCACACTAGTCCATTACATTGATGACATTATGCTGATTGGATCCAGTGAGCAAGAAGTAGCAAACACACTCGACTTATTTGTGCGACATTTGCATGCCAGAGGATGGGAAATAAATCCGACTAAAATTCAGGGAACTTCTACCTCAGTAGAATTTCTAGGGGTCCAGTGGTGTGGGGTCTGTCAAAATATTACTTCTAAGGTGAAGGATAAGTTGCTTCATTTGGTCCCTCCTACAACCAAGAAAGAGGCACACACCTAGTGGCCCTATTTGGATTTTGCAGGCAACACATTCCTCAGCTGGGTGTGTTACTCCAGCCCATTTATTGAGTGACCCAAAAGGCTGCCAGTTTTGAGTAGAGTGCATAACAGGAGAAGGCTCTGCAACAGGTCCAGGCTGCTGTGCAAGCTGCTCTGCCACTTGGGCCATAGGACCCAGCAGATCCAACGGTGCTTGAGGTGTCAGTGGCAAATAGGGATACTTTTTGGAGCCTTTGGCAGGCTCCAATAGGTGAATCACAGTGGAGGCCTCTAGAATTTTGGAGCAAGGCCCTGCCATCTTCTGCAAATAACTACTCTCCTTTTGAGATACAGCTCTTGGCCTGTTACTGGGCTTTGGTGGAAACTGAACGTTTGACTATGGATCATCAAGTCACCAATGTGACCCGAACTGCCTATCAGGAACTGGGTGTTTTGGACCCATCTAGCCATAAAGTGGGTCATGCACAGCAGCACTCCATCATCCAATGGAAGTGGTATATATGTAATTGGGCTCGAGCAGGTCCTGAAGGCAAAAGAAAGTTACATAAGGAAGTGGCTCAAATGCCCATGGTCTCCACTCTTGCCATCCTGCCTTCTCTCCCCCAGCCTGCACCGATGGCCTCATTGGGAATTCCCTGTGATCAATTGACAGAGGAAAAGAAGACAAGGGCCTGGTTCATTGATGGTTCTGCACGATATGCAGGCATCACCTGAAAGTGGACAGCTGTAGCACTACAGCCCTTTCTAGGACATCACTGAAGGAGAGTGGTGAAGGGAAGCCTTCTCAGTGGGAGAACTTCAAGCAGTGCACCTGGTCGTGCACTTTACATGGAAGGAAAGATAGACAGATGTACAATTATATGCGAATTAACGGTCTGTAGCCCATGGTTTGGCTGGATGGTCAGGGACTTGGAAGAAGCATGATCGGAAAATTGGTGACAAAGAACTTTAAGGGAGAGGTATGTGGATGGAACGCTCTGAGTCATCAAAAACCGTGAAGATATTGATATCCCATGTGAGTGCTCACAAATGGGTGACCTCAGCAGAGGAGGATTTTTAAAAATCAAGTGGATAGGATGACCCATTCTGTGAATATCACTCAGCCTCTTTCCCCTGTCACTCCTGTCATCCCCCAGAGGGCCCATGAACAAAGTGGCCATGGTGCCAGGGATGGAGGTTACACATGGGCTGAGCAACATGGACTTCCACTCACCAAGGCTGACCTGTCCACAGCCACTGCTGAGTGCCTAGAGCAGAGACCAACACTGAGCCCTCATATGGCACTATTTCTCAGGGTAATCAGCCATCTACCTGTTGGCAGGTTGATTATATTGGACCACCTCCATCACAGAAAGGGAAGAGGTTTGTCCTCACTGGAATAGACACTTACTCCAAATATGGATTTGCCTATCCTGCATGCAAAGCTTCTTCCAAGACTACCATTCGTGGACTCACAGAATGCCCTGTCCCCCATCGTGGTATTCCACACAGCATTGCCTCTGACCAAGGCACTCACTTTATGGCTAAAGAAGTGCAGCAGTGGGCTCATGCTCATGGAATTCACTGGCCTTACCATGTTCTCCATCATCCTGAAGCAGCTGGATTGATAGAATGTTGGAATGGCCTTTTGAAGTCACAATTACAATGGCAGCTAGGTGACGATACTTTGCAGGGCTGGGGCAAAGTTCTCCAGAAAGCCATGTATGCTCTGAATCAGTGTCCAATATATGGTACTTTTTCTCCCATAGCCAGGATTCACAGGTCCAGGAATCAAGGGGTGGACATGGAAGTGGCATCACTCACCATCACCCCTAGTGATCCACTAGCAAAATTTTTGCTTCCTGTGCCTGCTACATTACGTTCTGCTGGCCTAGAGGTCTTAGTTTCAGAGGGAGGAACACTGCCACCAGCAGACACAACAACAATCCCATTACATTGGAAGTTAAGATTGCCACCTGGACACTTTGGGCTCCTCCTACCTTTAAGTCAACAGGCTAAGAAGGGAGTTACCATGTTGGCTGGGGTGACATGCCCTGTGATTAAGGTCAATGGGAAACTACAACAGCCCAATTCAGGCAGGACTACAAATGGCCCAGACCCTTCAGGAATGAAGGTTTGGGTCACTCCACCAGGAAAAATAAAAACCATGACCTGCTAAGGTGCTTGCTGAAGGCAAAGGGAATACAGAATGGGTAGTAGAAGAAGGTAGTCATCAATACCAGCTATGACCACGTGACCAGCTGCAGAAATGGGGACTGTAATTGTCACGAGTATTTCCTCTTTCTTTTGTTTAAAACAGATTTGTGCATGTATACACTTGTACTAAGAAAATATCTTCATTTAATTATCTTTTTATCATATGACATAAGATTTATTGACTTCATATCAGCATTTAAGTATTGTTAACTCTATGTAGTAGTATTTGGGTTGGAGATTGGTGCATTTCTGGTTGTATGAAGGATAGTTGTATTATGTTAGGTATAATTATGACCTTATTATTGTCTTTATTTGAAGATTATGTATGATCTCATGAGATGTGTATGAGCTAAAGTTGCCAAGGGATGGACTGGTGATGGTTAATACTGAGTGTCAACTTGATTGGATTGAAGGATACAAAGGACTGATCCTGGGTGTGTCTGTGAGGGTGTTGCCAAAAAAATTAACATTTGAGTCAGTGGGCTGGGGAAAGTAGATCCACCCTTAATCTGGTGGGCACAATCTAATCAGCTGCCAGCGAATATAAAGCAGGCAGAAAAATGTGAACATGAGAGACTGGCCTAGCCTCTCAGCCTACATCTTTCTCCCATGCTGGATGCTTCCTGCCCTTGAACATTGGACTCCAGGTTCTTCAGTTTTGGGACTTGGACTGGCTCTCCTTGCTCCTTAGCTTGCAGACAGCCTATTGTGGGACCTGGTGATCATGTAAGTTAATACCTAATAAGCTCATTGGTATTAACTTACATGATCACAAGAGAAATACAGGCAGCTGAGAATTCATTATATATATATATATATATATACACACACACATATATACACATATGTATATAAATATATGTGTGTGTGTGTGTGTATATATATTTGTTCTGTCTCTCTAGAAAACCCTGACTAATACAAGCACCCTAGCCCACCCTGACTGATTCAGCTGAGAAGTACCATACACCCTTGAAGTCCAAGAGTCAACACACAAGAAACGATGCAAGGTTTAACGGCTTCAGTGTTGGCTTTATTCCTCTGCTGTAGTGATTGTTCCAAGTGGGAGATTAGCAGTTAGTGCAGAGACTCTGTAGCCCTCAAAATACAGATTCAGAAAGCTCATTTTATAGCTCACATTAATACACCTGCTATGTGTTCCTGAATCCCACTTCATCCTTCCACCCCTGAGACATCAATATTGTGGCAGAATGTCTAGCCCTACTTTCAAAACAGTACATAAAGTTGTTATTTGATCACTTCTTTCTACATTAGCAACCAATTAATGATAATGAATTTAACCTTGCACTCTGCCTCCTACTCTTCTATACTTTATTGTTGAGAAATGGGGAAATGCAAACAGAAGAGAAATGTAGGCGGCTGAGAATTTGTATGAAGCTGAGCAGGCTGGCTTTAAAATCATAGGTTTTAGAAACATGAATGTAAGCTTTTATTTCCATTCTCTATATATAGCTCAATAAAATAGAGGGAAACTGTGTATTAAAGTAAACATTTAGCTCTCTTTTAAGAGCAATATATAAAATATTAATCTACTGCTCCTTTCCTGATTGTTGCCCAGAATTTCCCCAGGTGTTGCTCTTCTTGATGGACCTGCTGGCCTCTGTAGACCCTGGAGAAGCAGCAGGTGGCTGAGCATTGACTTAGAAAAGAAAATACGCAACACAATATTAAATGGGACTTTTCTGGTAGTCTTGGCAGAGACCCCAAAGGTGAATATAGTATGGAGACAATCACCTCCTGCATTCTCAAAATAGAAGCCAAACTATCTGTATTCATTTTTCTATTCTTGCTGTAATAGGTCACCACAAATTCACCAGTTTAACGCAACACAAATTTATTATCTCATAGCTCTGTCACTCAGAAGTCTAGGCAGGTTAGGTAGGTTCTCTGCTTAGGGTACCACAAGGTGAAAATGAAAATGGCAGCTGGCCTGGACTGCTTATCTGGAGGCTTTGGGGAAGAATCTGCTCCCAGCTCACCCAGAATGTCAGCAGAATCCAGTTCCTGTGGTTGCAGAAATGAAGCCTACATTTCCTTGCTGACTGCTAGCCAGGAGTTATTCCCAGTTTCCATAGGCCACCTTCTTTCACTGGCTGGTGGCTCCCTTTGTCTTCAAAATCAAGAACAACAGATTGAATCTTTCTCACACTCTAAATCTCACTAACCTCAATTTCTGTCTCTGACACAGCTCTTTCCTTTTAAGGGCTCATGTCATTAGATTGAACATATTGGAATAATCCAATATTATGTCCCTATTTTAAGATCCCTCATCTTAATTACAACTGCAAAGTCCTTCTTGTGAGGTAATATAGCATATTCACAGGAATTAGGGCATGGGCATCTTTGGGGACCATTCTGCCTGTACCACACATTCATGTTTTGCTAAAGGGGTGGCCAAATTTAATTATGTGACCACATGACCAATTTCTGTCCTCCAGCCTAGATATTAGAAGGCTAGAAGCTGATTGGAGAGAGTGAGAGGCTTACTTGAAGAGATGGACGTTAGTGTGTATCTCCCTTCAGGGAAGGTGTCTGGGGATGTTTACTCCCACTCCCAGTTAAGGTGAAAGGGTTCTGTGGCCTGGAGAATGATGAAAATATTTGGGGAATTGACCTGTGTCCCAACAGTTTGAGAGGCACAGAAATGATACCCCCAGAAATCTGAAGTCAAGAGGCTGCCTTTGACCAGAGAGCCATGAAGAGTGGCTGAGTGGGAGACGCTTGCACTCCTAACACTGGGTGGACATGCATGGTTCTGGTAGGTCTGCCTGAAAAGGCTCGCCAGCAGAAAGAAGCTGCGAGCCAGAGGGCAAGCTGAGGACTTCATAAGGGTGAGAAAGAAAACTCAGCAGCCAAGTTGGTGAACCATGGAATAAGGGAACGCCCCATGTGAGATCTGGAAAGAGCCTATAAAAGTGTCCTGTGAGAGAATGCACAGTATTTGCTATGTACCACACAGGGAATCCCACGATCCTAGTGCAAAAGCCCAGCTGGGAAAGAGTTCACTCCTTTACCTCCATCCCAACTATAGAGGAGCTGGAAACATCTAAGCATAGAAGCTCAGAGAAACAGGAAACAGAAACAAAGCAAAGCTAGACACGTTCCCCCCTTGTGAGGCCTCAAGCTGGGGTCGAGCTTGAGCTGGGGGCAGAATTGCAGCTTTCTCCTGGATGCCAGGTTCAAGTCTTGATGTGGATGTACTTTAGGCCACCAACTCCTGATGTGGCAAAGTGACCAGCTTAGAATTGAGCTTCTCCTGCTCTGTCATCCTGGCTCAGCAAGGGAATGCATCAGAACTCATTTGAAATAGTGGTTTGAAATAATGGAGTTGTTTCCTGCTTACCTAGCAAATGTAACTCATTGGATAAACCAGTCACATTTGATTTCCTGCATGATATATGGAGATATGAAAATGCATAGAAAGATATTCAATTGTATATTTGAATTTTAATTGACATATAAGATGTTTATGGTACAGACTTCAGGAAAGTAAGGTACAAGAACACTTGCATAATTCTGAGAAAGAAGTTTAGCCATATTTCCCCACCATCTTATATGCTTACACATCAGAGGCTTTACTCAACACCAGGAAGAAACTCTGGAAAAATATTGGTTGGAATGAATCTAGTATTCAAAAATATTAAGGATGTGTTCAAGACAGAAGCTAGAACTTACACCTTCATAAGTTACTAATATCTAGTTTCTTTTTATTTGTCTTTTTGAAGATAGACAGCAATATTTGAAGACTCATAAAATCCCTAAGTAGTACCTAATCTGTCTCATATCCTCAATTTTATTTTTTAATCAATAAAATAGAGACATTAATACTGAGCTTATGGGGATTCAGTGAGGACTAAATGAAATGAAATAGCACATATAAAGGATTGAGCGTAGTCTGCGGTGAGTACTCAAGAAATGTCAATTATTAACACATAGAATTCTCTGCTTGAAAGTATAGGCAGATATTTTAAGTGTTACCCTTCCAGCACAGGCAAATTGGAAGCTAATCCAATTTACCAACTTTTATTGAGCATTTAGTTGTTAGTGGTACAAGGTTGAGAAGATATGGATGGTACCTGAGAACACAGAGATACCTAATTTATTCTGAAGAAGCAGACATAGGATACATGTTTAGTTCACTATGGGAGATAGACATGTAAACAGATCACCCAATGCAGGCTGATGGTTACACATATACAAGTATATGGACTACAGCAGGTCCTGGAATAACATCATTACACTATAACATGGATGAGAAAAAGAACTGATTTCTGCTGGGGCCACAGTCTGTGTGGAGTTGGCATGTTCTCCCCATGTCTGTGTGGGTTTTCTCTAGGTACTCTGGTTCCCTTGCACATCCCAAAAACATGCACATTAGGTGAATCCATGTGCCTACATGGGCCCAGTCTGTGTGTGTGTGAGTGCAACTTGTGATGAGATGGGTCCTATCCGGGACTGGTTCCCGCCTGGCACCCTGAGCTACCAGGCTAAGCACTGGCCACCTCCCACCCCAAACTGGGATAGGAAGGGAAATAATTATCTTGTTTTTATTATTTTTTAAATGTCTGTACAGTTCACATGTATTTTAGTGTTTAATATTAGAAGTGTTTTGGTCTTTATTTAGAAGTTTGGTCTTTATATTAGAAGTTTGGTGATGTTTTTATGACCAACAACAGGCCATAGGAACCTAACTCTCGTTTAGGTTCAATTAGCCTAAACATTAATTTCCCTATAAATACAGAGTTTTGCTTAAAGTCAGTTTCCAACAACCCATGGATGATGTTAAGTGAGGACTTACTGTCCTTGGACTGACAGATAGTGATGACTAAACTGTGTGGGGCCCTGGCAAGGCAGTGAAAGGGTTAAAAAAGAAAGTGTCCCAGAGGGAAGGTTTCTGCTGAATCCTGAAGAATATTGACCAGGTAAATGTATGGGGAACCAAACCGTCATCTTTGTTGTGCCAGAGACACTGTCTGAGAGGCTGTATTCACCTGGTGAGAGACAGAGGAGGTGACAGGGCTCAAATTTCATTGTTTGGACCCTTGACTAAGCTAAAGAAAAATATTCCAATTAGATTGGACTAGGTTATCAAATCCCCACTTTAAATAGATTGGCCATATTGAACCCAAAGTAACATTATGAAGACATGCAAAAACAACTCTCTACTGCACTTGCAATGGCCATGGTGAGCCTCCGGACATTCCCAGTAAGTAATCCCGGGGAAGTATTATAGCATATTAGCCCCTCCACAGAGATGGGCTGGCATTGCTCTATTGCCTCCTCCGGGGCAGAGTCCCTTCTGGCATATGTGTCCAGCATGTTCTACAGCACTGCTTCCTGACAATATGCTCTGCTGAGTTCTGCACACTTCAAGTCCACAAAATATGTGGGTGCATAACTGTTGCTCCCAGGTTCTCCCACAAGAGCTAATGCTTAATAGATATCTAGTCAGTAATTAGTTCTTTTTGCACAAAGAACTAATTACTGACTAGATATCTCCCTTTACATACAGCTGCCAAACTGGAGATTTTTTCATTTGAGGCATCCAACCACCAAAGAAATCATTGACCTCTGCCTTCGCCAGAATCAGACGTCTTGTCTACTGCCTGAAGGGCTATTTGCTAATCGTAAAGACACTGGAGGAGAATTATTTTTCTCCTTAGCTTATTTATCTGTTAGGATAAGATACTGGATATGCTCTGGACAAAGCTAGATTACTAATTTCTTCTTAGGAAACTGGTAGGTTGTGTTACTAGTTGAAATAAACACCACCTTTTCTGGTGGGAAGATAATATATCTTCAAACCATTGACATCAGATTTAGCCATATGAATTAGAATGCCCCTCTCTAGGAAAGGATTATACATTTTTTATTCAATGACATCAGTCATGGCCATATGACTTCCTTTGGCCAAGAAAATGTCAGAGCAAGTGGCATGTGACACCACGGAGCAAAAGCTTTAAAATCTCATATGAGACTCTGTCATGGTCTCATTATTTTCTGCCATGAAACAGGCAATATTCCAGACAGGAGCTGCTTCTTTATCCTGGGTACAAGAAATGTAGCTGACTTGTACCAGATGAGTAGCATGACCCAAAAATTAACCTAGATTTTTATAAGCCACAAAGACTTGGAGCATGTTTGTTACTACCACATAACTTAGCCTAAGCTGACTGATGCAGTACTTGAGCCCTGAGGTCAGCTGTCAATCTTGTGATGACTAGAGAGCTCGATTCTCAGAATATATATCTCACTGAAGATATGAAACACTGAGTTGATCAAACTTTGTAATATGGCCTACAGAAAAGGAATTTCTAGGATACACGTGCACAATTTGATATTGGTAGTTGATGCTACCATTGAGCCTCAGCCTGTCCCCTGGGCTCTGTGAGGAATCGAATAAAGAAGTTTAATTTCTACAAGTCACGGCAAACCAGGCCCTTCAGGTACTCTATTAGTAAAATGTTGTCATGTTTACATTCAGCCAAATACTATTCAAAATTCAGACACTATAATTCCGACTTCCCACAATGCCCTGGGGCTTTTTCCTGAGTTGGGAACGATGCAAAGAAAGAATGCACCCAGCTCTAATAGCACGTGTTCACCAACAATTATTTCAAAGATCCTCTTTGCATTATTTTAAGATTATCACCAAAAAGATAAAGATTATCTGTTACATCAATTTACTTCCATTTAAATATATACAGCCTCCTTTTAAAATTTATGCAACCCCCTTTTTAGGGATAATTATCTCTAACGTCAGAATCCACTACTCAGATAGTAGGACTGTTATGTTTAATCCTACCCAACTGAGCAGGTCCTAAGAACACATATTTAATAATATTAAGATATTAAAACATATCACAAACCAAAAAATATTAAATATGTATCTAATGAAATAATATTTTTAATGAATTTAGTTTGGAGAATGTGTCTCTATAATCACACATGCATAAAATATTTAAAATTTCTGACATTTAAATTATAATTATAATTGTTAATATAATATCTATTCTATTACAATTTGAAGAATTATGAAAACCTGGAACATTCCTGTCTGCTTTCTTCTTTGTTTTGGCCGTAGAAATGCTGTATTACTTATCCTTCAGACTAGGAGCAGAAATTATACAACTTTTAAAATAAACATTGCTATGTGACCACCAAGAAGAATGGATCTCACAGAGTTTGGCTGCAAGAAGTTGACAACAGCTGTATAGACAATCTTATGTCCAATTGTAATTGATTCCTTACTTAAAAATTATCAATCCGTTGGCTAGAAAATTTAATTTTTTTATTTTCTTTGTTATTTATTTCCATTTGAAATGGAAATGAACCATAATTTATTCCTTTATGTATCCAAAGAGCTTCATTAGTATTGATCTGAGATATCTGGTGAAACAAATCCTGACTGCCGCTTAGTAGCATGGAGGTGTGATCCTGATCAAGTTTCTCAACCCATTTGGGGTTCTTAGCAGTAGCATGTGCTATAGTAGTTCCCTTATGAAATGGTAGTGACAAGTAAAGAAGGAATCTCACATAAAGCACAGCCCGGTGCCTTGTGCATCGTACATCAATATTAGCTTTTACTATTATTATTGCAGCTACTTTTATTGCCGGTGCTATTTTTCTCAGTATTTATTCCTAATAATTATCCCTAAGATGTTTCAAAGAGAAAGTAGACAATGGAAGGCGTGGAGAAGAGATACGCTTTACTCTAACCAGGGTGTATCCATTCCTAGGCAACAGCAAAAGTGTCTCCGATTGCCTGCCGTGTACATTCCAGATGTTCTCCTGGTTATTTGTCAATTTCCCTGTGAGGACACTATCCCTGAGGTAAATGAGGAATCTTGCCTACATCAACAAAGATCTTAAATGGGGGAGTGCAAGAATTTGACTCTCTGCCTTCAAAATCCCAGCCTTTTTACCCTCATAAAGAGCTTCCAGGCAGACTCTTACTAAAGAACCACAAAAAAGGAGTAGCACAATCTAGCTTGGGATTTTTAAAACATTCTGGTTTGTTGTACAGTCAACATTTTCAGGTTGTAAATTACAAGGAGAGACAAAAAGGAATAACATAGCAGATTTGTATTGCCTGTGTCCTATGAAGTCTTATAAAATTAAAGAATAATATAAAAAAAGAATGTTGTTATAAAAACAGCATGTCCAACATCGATGTTAGTTACTGTGGTAAGTGATAACAACTGAGGAATATCTCTCCAGAATACTGACACTTTTGTTATCACTTCTCAGCCTTCTGGCTAAGATCAGGTGTAAAATTATGTTTTAAAATTATTCAAAAATGTCCACTAATATTCAGTCTGTTTAAAGCTTTTCGGTGGAAAATGGAACTCTGAGCTCCCTTGAACTTGAAGCCTCTTTGAACACTGCCTGTTGCATGAATGGCTAATTTGTACTAATTATCCTCTTCTAGCCTCTTTGTTAATGTGCAATGTCCTGAAAGAGTAAAATTTTAAAAAATGAATTAATTTACATACAAAAGCAGTGGCATTGAAATTAAAAAGAATAATGTCAAAAGAACAAGAATACAAATAAACAATAAATTTCAAAGTAGCAACAGACAAACCTGAACAAGAACTTCCATGAGGGAATCATCAACCACAGAATGAAGCCACCTGTCCTTCTTCACTCTCGCTGGGCGTCTGTGGCTACCAATTTTCAAGACTGCCCACCCACCTGTTGTCCCAAACTGTCCTTTTCTCTCCTTGAGTTGTGTCCTCTAGGCACTAGGAATCTACAAAACCAGGACTGTCCCAGCACCAGGATCCTCCCAGGACTGTGCACCAAATACCAAGGCAGGGCAGCACTCCAGCCAACTCCTCCTTATCTGAATGCCAGTGAAGTTTGGTCTTGGATGAACGATGGCGAACAAAGAAATAGTCCTTCACGGTTTAACCACTTCTTGTCAAAATTTCCTGATAACATGCACTTCTTTGTTACGAAACAAAAGATCTGTGGCAATGGAAGCTTTTCCCATCATTATTACTGCTGTATTTTTAAGGGTTTCAAGGGATCAAATTTCCCTGGCTGGGGAAAGGGCAACTTCAGCAGTGGTTTCTTTATATAACTTAGGGACATCAAAGTCATAGGCATTCTTTTTTTTTTTTTTTCAATTTTTACTTTAAATTCAGGGAGTACACGTGCAGGTTCATTACCTGGGTGTATTGCATGAAGCTGAGGATTGGGGTACGAATGATCCCATCACCTAGGTACTGAACATAATACCCAAGAGGTAGTTTCACAGCCTCTGCCCCCCTCCCTAGCATTCTTTTTTTTTTTATACTTTAGGTTTTAGGGTACATGTGCACAACGTGCAGGTTTGTTACATATGTATACATGTGTCATGTTGGTGTGCTGCACCCATGAATTCATCATTTACATTAGGTATATCTCCTAATGCTATCCCTCCCCCCTCCCCCAACCCCACAACAGGCCCCGGTGTGTGATGTTCCCCTTCCTGTGTCCATGTGTACTCATTGTTCAAGTCCCACCTATGAGTGAGAACATGCGGTGTTTGGTTTTTTGTCCTTGCGATAGTTTGCTGAGAATGATGGTTTCCAGCTTCATCCATGTCCCTACAAAGGACATGAACTCATCCTTTTTATGGCTGCTTAGTATTCCATGGTGTATATGTGCCACATTTTCTTAATCCAGTCTATCATTGTTGGACATTTGGGTTGGTTCCAAGTCTTTGCTATTGTGAATTGTGCCACAATAAACATACATGTGCATGTGTCTTTATAGCAGCATGATTTATAATCCTTTGAGTATATACCCAGTAATGGGATGGCTGGGTCCAATGGTATTTCTAGTTCTAGATCCCTGAGGAATCGCCACACTGACTTCCACAATGGTTGAACTAGTTTACAGTCCCACCAGCAGGGTAAAAGTGTTCCTATTTCTCCACAACCTCTCCAGCACCTGTTGTTTCCTGACTTTTTGATGATCGCCATTCTAACTGGTGTGAGATGGTATCTCATTGTGGTTTTGATTTGCATTTCTCTGATGGCCAGTGATGATGAGCATTTTTTCATGTCTCTTTTGGCTGCATAAATGTATTCTTTTGAGAAGTGTCTGTTCATGTCCTTTGCCCACTTTTTGATGGGGTTGTTTGTTTTTTTCTTGTAAATTAGTTTGAGTTCTTTGTAGATTCTGGATATTAGCCCTTTGTCAGATGGGTAGATTGCAAAAATTTTCTCCCATTCTGTAGGTGGCCTGTTCACTCTGATGGTAGTTTCTTTTGCTCTGCAGAAGCTCTTTAGTTTAATTAGATCCCATTTGTCAATTTTGGCTTTTGTTGCCATTGCTTTTGGTGTTTTAGACATGAAGTCCTTGCCCATGTCTATGTCCTGAATGGTATTGCCTAGGTTTTCTTCTAGGGTTTTTATGGTTTTAGGTCTAACATTTCAGTCTTTAATACATCTTGAATTAATTTTTGTATAAGGTGTAAGGAAGGGATCCAGTTTCAGCTTTCTACATATGGCTAGCCAGTTTTCCCAGCACCATTTATTAAATAGGGAATCCTTTCCCCATTGCTTGTTTTTCTCAGGTTTGTCAAAGATCAGATAGTTGTAGATATGCGGTGTTATTTCTGAGGGCTCTGTTCTGTTCCGTTGGTCTCTATCTCTGTTTTGGTACCAGTACCATGCTGTTTTGGTTACTGTAGCCTTGTAGTATAGTTTGAAGTCAGGTAGCGTGATGCCTCCAGCTTTGTTCTTTTGGCTTAAGATTGACTTGGCAATGCGAGCTCTTTTTTGGTTCCATATGAACTTTAAAGTAGTTTTTTCTGATTCTGTGAAGAAAATCATTGGTAGCTTGATGGGGATGGCATTGAATCTATAAATTACCTTGGGCAGTACGGCCATTTTCATGATATTGATTCTTCCTACCCATGAGCATGGAATGTTCTTTCATTTGTTTGTATCCTCTTTTATTTTGTTGAGCAGTGGTTTGTAGTTCTCCTTGAAGAAGTCCTTCACGTCCCTTGTAAGTTGGATTCCTAGGTATTTTATTCTCATTGAAGCAATTGTGAATGGGAGTTCACTCATGATTTGGCTCTCTGTTTGTCTGTTATTGGTGTATAAGAATGCTTGTGATTTTTGCACGTTGATTTTGTATCCTGAGACTTTACTGAAGTTGCTTATCAGCTTAAGGAGATTTTGGGCTGAGACGATGGGGTTTTCTAGATTTACAATCATGTCATCTGCAAACAGGGACAATTTGACTTCCTCTTTTCCTAATTGAATACCCTTTATTTCCTTCTCCTGCCTGATTGCCCTGGCCAGAACTTCCAACACCATGTTGAATAGGAGTGGTGAGAGAGGGCATCCGTCTTGTGCCAGTTTTCAAAGAGAATCCTTCCAGATTTTGCCCATTCAGTATGATATTGGCTGTGGGTTTGTCATAGATAGCTCTTATTATTTTGAGATACGTCCCATCAATACCTAATTTATTGAGAGTTTTTAGCATAAATGTTGTTGAATTTTGTCAAAGGCCTTTTCTGCATCTATTGAGATAATCATGTGGTTTTTGTTGTTGGTTCTGTTTATATGCTGGATTACATTTATTGATTTGCATATGTTGAACCAGCCTTGCATCCCAGGGATGAAGCCCACTTGATCATGGTGGATAAGCTTTTTGATGTGCTGCTGGATTCGGTTTGCCAGTATTTTATTGAGGATTTTTGCATCGATGTTCATCAGGGATATTGGTCTAAAATTCTCTTTTTTTGTTAGCATTCTTAATTATGTGCCAAAGCACTGAACCTAACAGCATAGCTGGAGACAGTTCTATTGCCGAGATCACCTAGACTGAACTAAGCTGATTGTTTTTATTTACCCCTTGTGATGCGCTGAATTATGTCCCCCAAAAGTCAAACACTGAAGTCCTAACCCTCAGTAACCCAGAATGTGACTGTATTTGTAGATAACGACTTTAAAGAGGTAATTAAGATAAAATGAGATTATTAGAATGAACCCCACTCCAGTGTGATTGGTGTCCTTATAAGGAGGAGATTAGGACACAGACCCACACAGAGGAAAGACTATGAAAAGACACAGAGAGAAGGCAGCATCTACAAGGATCAAGAAACCAACCCTGCTGACACCATGATCTTGGAGTTCTGGCCTCCAAAATTATGAAAAAATAAATTTCTGTTGTCTAAGCCACCCAGTTGATGGCACTTTGTTATAGCAGCCCTGTCAAACACTTTTCTTCGAGCGATTCCAATGAAAGAATATTTTCTAAACCAAAATCCCTAAAGCTAATATTTGTTGGATGCTTACAGTGTGCTAAGAGCTTCACAGTGGTATCTCTGTACCTGGATATCTACATCTGTAAATCAAGAATATTAACCATACCAGCATTGTTGTATGCTGTAGTGAGTGAGGATTGCATCAGTCTGTTTTAGCTGCTTGGTTACATCATTAACCTTTAAACTTCACAGCAGCCTTGCAAGGTATTTTTGTTCCCATTTTACAGAAGACAACACCAACGTCCAGGTTCTACTAACAAAAACGATGGGAAAACTGAAACTCGTGCTTTTCTCCCAAGTATTTAAACATAGTCATATGTCACTTAACGACAGGGATACATTCTGCAAAACACGTTGTGAGGCAATTTGATTGCTCTGCAAGTGTCATAGAGTGTGCTTACACAGACCTAGATGGTACAGCCCACTACACACTGAGGCTGTGTGGTATGGCCTATTGTTCCTAGGCTACAAACCTGCACAGCCTGCTTCTGTACTGAATACTGTAGGCAACTGTAACACAATAGTAAGTAATATGTATCTAAACATAGAAAAAATAGTAAAAATATGGTATAAAAGATTTTTTTCAAATGATCCTCCTGTATAGGGCACTTACTATGCATGGAGCTTGCAGGACTGAAAGTTGCTCTGGGTGAGTCAGTGAGTGAGGACTGAATGCGAAGCCCTAGGACATTAGTGTACACCGCTGTAGACTTCATAAACCCTGGATACTTAGGCAACACTAAATCTATTTTAAAATGTCTTTCTTTGATAATAAATTAATGTTAACTTACTGTAACTTTTTTACTTTATAAACTTTAAAATTTTCCACTTTTGACTCTTGTAATAACACTTAGCTTAAAATACAAACACATTGTACATCTGTACAAAAGCTGTTTCTTTATATCATTATTCTATAAACTAGTTTCTATTTGTTTTTTACCTTTTCACTTTTTTGTTAAAAATTAAGATCCACATACAATGAGCCTAGGTCTACACAGGGTCAGGATCCTCAATGTCACTGTCTTCCATCTCCACATCTTGTTCCACTGGAGGGTCTTCAGGGGCAATAACATGCATGGAGCTATCATCTCTATGATAGCAGTGTCTCCTTCTGGAATCCTCCTGAAGGCTGTTTTACAGTTAACTTTTTCTTTTTTCTCTCTTTAATAAGTTATTAACACTCCAAAATAACAATTAAAAGTATAATCTAATAAATAAACCAGTAACATAGTTGTTTACCATCATTATCAAGTATTCTGTACTGTACATAATTGCATGAGCTATACTTTTATACAAGGGCAGTGCAGTAGGTACCTACACCAGCATCATCACAATCATGTGAGCAATGCATTATACTGTGACATCCCAATGGCTATGAAGTCCCTAGGCAACAGGAAATTTTCAGCTCCATGATAATTTTGCATGACCACCACTGAATGTGCAGTTCCTTGATTGACCTGTCCTGATGCAGTGCCTGACTGTAGTTCTGCAGCTCCACTGAAGAAGAGGCACTGAGGACTAGAGGCAGCCAGGGGATTGCAACTCAAAGAGGTTAGTGACCTGTTGGCTCATATCCCAGCAGGTGGCTAATGGGTGTGGGTGAGAGTTGGCTTCCAGGGCCATGTGCTTAACCATGACGACTTACTTCCCCTTTCTTCCTGTTCCTGGAATTGTAACTTCTGGTGAGCCTCAGCTATCAGGAACCATCGTTGAACCAGTGTGGACTTACACAGTGCATAGGAGTGTGTAGCATGATCTGTTTAAAACTTGAGCCTGGATTCCTACTGATCTTAATTCAAGCCATTCCAAAGTTTTTAGTAGCATGATTTGTTTTCTGATTTTCTTCCTATTTACATATTTATCTATTGAATGAATGAGTTTGGACTTCTAGGTTCAACTTTATGTATTTCAAAATTTATCTCTGTTGCTAGCTCTGTTCTATTCCCATTTAACACATGAGTTTCAGGTAATGGAGTTAGAAAATGAGACAGTGCCTTTTCTCCAGGAAAGCTCCATTGCATCTCTTTTTGCTGTGAGGCTGGAGGAGCTGCCTTCCTGAGAGGCAGAGGAACATAATGTCTTGTCCTTGACATTCAATCCCTATCCCCTTCAGACGCTGAGGCCATCCACAGAACAGACCCAGAGAATATCCAAGCAAGGTGCAGGATGCCAGCTCTGTGTCCACTTGCAGGCCCATGTGTGTAGGACCACCCACTTCCATCTGGTCTGACCTCAGAGATTAGCCTAACCCACTCCCACAAGCTGCACCCCAGTTCCTGCCCTTCCAGCCTGTCTCCTCCACCCTACCAGATGGTTCCTGGTAGCTGAGGCTCACCAGGAGGGGAAGGGAGATCTGGAAATATATATCTCTTTGCTGACTCTGTATGCTTTGTTTGTCATTCTTAGGTTTTCTAGAACCAGTTACTTCCAAATTATGTTCAATTAGGCAACAGAACTAAAGAATATGCCTCTGATCTACTTATTTCTCAGCCTGAATGCTGACTTCATAGACTTTCAAAACAAAGTAATAGGTGAGGAGCAAAGGAAGTAGTTCTGCTGACGGTTCAGGACCTGCTGTGTGGGTAGGGTGGTTCACTAGTCATCCTGAAAGGTAAGCTCTGACATGGAGACATTCAAGCATGAGCAGACTTAGTCCTCTGGAACAACAGTTTCTAACTTTTTTGGCACCAGGGACTGGTTTTGTGGAAGACGATATTTTTCCACAGACCAAAAGACGGGGAGATGGTTTGGGGAGGATTCAAGAACATAACGCTTATTGTGTACTATCATCTATTGCTATTATTATTACATTATAATATATAATGAAATAATTATACAACTCACGATAATGTAGAATCAGTGGGAGCCCTGAGCTCATTTTCCTGCAACTAGATGGTCCCATCTGGAGGTGATGGGAGACAGTGACAGAGCATCAGGTGTTAGATTCTCATAAGGAGCCCACAACCTAGATCCTTCGCATGCACAGTTCACGATAGGGTTTACGCCTCTATGAGACTCTGATGCCGCCACTGATCTGACAGGAGGCGGAACTCAGGGGGTAATGTGAGCAATGGGGAGTGGCTTTAAATAGAAATGAAGCTTCACTGGCTCACCAGCCATTCACCTCACACTGTGTGGCCCGGTTCCTAACAGGCCACCAATCAATACCGATCTGTGGCCGGGGGTTGCGGACCCCTGCTCTGGAGCGTTCGATTGGCATTGGTGCCAACCATTCACCTCAAACTTGCCTCATTTGAGATGCAAATAACATAAGTGACAAAGCCGGTTTTTAATCTGTTGGGATCACTGCTCTAAAGATGCAGTGAATGAGAATCACAATAAGAAGTAGAGAAGTGTTTGCATGTCAAATTAAAAATGACTTTTTTCCTGGATTTTCCTCATGTAATTAAAACACAAGTAAAGTTGGGTTATGAAGCTTTTAACTATTAAACTATTTGGCTAGCATAAGGATTAGCCAGAAAGGGACCGAATACTTTTTTTTTTTAGGTTTTTGAAGTGATCGTATCACCATGAGAAAAAAATCCTCACTCTTGAGGTAAATGTTATAATCGTACTTGTGATAAAAATCATTCCTGGTTTGTTCTAATCTCAATACAATCTTGGCTGTGTATTTAATATTTTAAAAGTTTTCTACAAGATTTTTTACAACAATAAAATATTAATTTTTCTCTTAAACATTATTCCAATCAGCTTGATTAATGTGATGAGAAGTGCATCGCAGGGTAACGAATGCTGTGTTATTAGCCACCAAATGCTCCACACGATGCTGCAGTCTTTCAGAAGCAAAGGGCACATTGAAATAAAATCACACTAAAAGTGTTCTTCTAGGTTTATATCCTATAATAGCAATCGCCGCCTCAATGCAAGCGTTTCTTAGGAAGGACTGACTGGCTGAGGTTAACTGCCCAGAGTACAGTTGAAGGCCACCAGTTCCTCCCCGCTACTCATTAATCCCCAGGAAATCTCCTGAATCCTGGCAGTTATTGTTCAATCCTTTATAGACGATTTTCTGAGTATTTTGAGTGCTTGTTCTCCCCAGGAACACCTACAGCTGGCCAGATTGTGTGTGTATAGAGAAGAAAACTCTTTTTCTTAAAAGTGGATTGAATTTCAACCTCCCTATAAAGACCCCTTATGGGCCAATGACTCAGAAAAAGTCACTTTAATTGCGTTTTGGCTTCTCTCCTTTCTAAGGGAACAAGAGACGAGAGAAGCCAGGGAAAGTCAGGGAGGGAAGACAGAGGAGCCCAGCCACTCACATTCTTTCTGGCTCCCAGCAATCACCCAGTCAAATGTGGGGCTGCTGGTGAGGACAAAAGGACCCGGCAGAACAGGTGCACCTGGGAGGGGGGTTCAGAGCCAAGAGACCAAGAGCCCTCCCTCAGGACAGCCGGGGAGGCCAACTGGACCCCAGACTCAACTCGGCAAATGGGGGCAACTCCAACGATCTACTTCCACAACACTGAGTAATTTCTAGCCACAGAGCCCCACGCATGCAGTTTTAGTATTATAAAAATGTGAAGACAAATTAGTCAAGTCAGGGCACTAAATAAAATTAAAAATTCTTGTCCTCTATTCAGAAAGGATTTTGTATTTTTACCTCAGCATTTAATGTTTTCTAAATCAGGTGTCTGATATTTAAAAGCTATGTAAATAAGAGAGGTTATTCTACAACTACAAATTAATTATCGTTGTCCAATGTTAACTGAACTTGCTAGGAAGATTTCATTATCGTGTATGTCTGTGTGTGTGTGAGAGAAAGAAAGAGTCTTCTGAAGTCAAAATGACCCTTTCTGTTTTATATGTTAATTATGTTAATATGCTTTATTCCAAAATCACTTTTCTACCACTTATTTGTATTCCATAAGGGAAATAATTCTTCAGTGAAAATACAGATTTATCAACTATATAGTTGAAAATTAGTATATCCCTATTCTGACTGAAGACTGTTAGATTCTCTTCCTAAGTCACTTAATATCAAAGACAAAAGACTGGATACATAGAAAAGACACATATTTTGTTTATAAATTAAAAAGAAAAAATGTGAGGACCCTGTCTCAAAGCAGCATCAGTAAGTCTTCTGAAGTCATCATCAGGAAAATCTCCCCAGTCTTCTTTTGAACAAGACAATGGAAGAAAACTTGTTCTCAAAATCAAATCCATTCCCAATTGCCCTATATCCATATACTCATTCCCTTACTTCTTGCAGTGGGCTTCCCAATGTAGATTTATGAAACATTGTCTTAAATCAGTCCAATAAAAGTCAACAAGCTGTGATGGGGCAGCTGGTGGGAAAGTCTAGCTCCGTATTTCCATGAGGAGTTTAAGGTGCATTGTGATGTGGTAAACACAAAGGGAATAATGAGAATTGCCTTTTAAACAGGGTGGAGTTTGGGGAAATTTCTTTTCATTGTTTCCTAATTTGACAATGTCCATACAAGCAAAATTACAGTATTGGGCAAAGCAAGTTTCATTATTTCTACATTTTAGACATTCACAGAAATACATAGCAATTCAGCCAAGCAAAAATAGTGTTGGGTCCGGTCTTTATGTGCTTTGGTATTGGCATGGCTTTAACCACAAAATGCTTCAAACAGAGCCCTGAGCCAAAAATGTGGGTTGGAGGAAGTGTTCTTACACCATCGGCCTTTATGACTTCTAATTCAGAGGGAAGCAAACCGTTTAGCTCAACTGAACTTCCTTTCCGTAAAATGACTCCAAATTCCAGAGCATGAGAAGGAGAAATACTGTCTGTGGCTGACTTCGGCCTTACACATGATCACCCTCTCCCTGAAGGCTGTTGGACGACTTGCTAAATGCAGCAAATCCTGTTGAAACCTGCAAAGTTGTTATAAAAACAGATGGACCAGGACTTCCACAATAACTGTTTGGATGGGCAGGTATATAGTTAATTATTATGTTTTTGCTCACCTTTTCAGAATTCATAAACTCTGTTTCAAGGTCAGAGGATGGTTTTGCTGTATTTTTAACAGGTCATTTATTCCTAAAATGTTTTGGGGCTGGGTTTTGTTTTATTGGTTTCTTTGTTTTTGTTTTTTTTTAATAGCTATGTATCTCTACAGGGAAAACCAATAGCCCAGTTTGAAGGAGATGACATGTGACCAAATGTTTATTTTTCTTAACATTTTTATTTTTTTACCTTTCAAATTATTGGTATATGTTAAACACTCTGCTAAGAACTTTATGTATGTTATCTTTTTAAATTTTTACAGTAATTTTACGAAGTGGATATTTCATGACCATTCTCATTTTATACACTGGAAGTCAGAAAATTTTTAAACCTTTGCTGAATCTCTTTATCTTATTTATTGCAAAATTTTGCAACTGAAATGTGTTTTTGCGAGGATTGACTCAGCAAACAAAATGAGATTTGTATTTCCCTCCCTGTAGCCATATTCACTCAAAGGACTTTTTTAAAGCACTGTATCAGATATTCATTACCTTGTCATTTTCTTTAGTTTTCTTTTTTTTTTACTTTTATTTTTTATTTAATTTTTCTTTTTTTATTTTATTATTATTATACTTTACGTTTTAGGGTACATGTGCACAATGTGCAGGTTAGTTACATATGTATACATGTGCCATGCTGGTGTGCTGCACCCATTAACTCGTCATTTAGCATTAGGTATATCTCCTAATGCTATTAATTTCATGAAACAAGAAGCCACATCTCAAAGACCAAATTACAAACCTCAGGTAACTAACTGTACCCTAATAATATTTCACCTTGAAGAGAATCTTATAGAGTTAAGGAAGAGGGTGGCTACCCCCATTTTCACGGAAGCAAACTCCTCTAAACCACCAGAGCTTTGTAATGACAGGTTGAAATTATGATGGTTTTCCTTTTTACACTAGTGTAGAACTAACTAGGAAATTTTTAACTAGAAAATTCAAATAATCAATGTAGAAATGTTATAGGATAAATAAATTCAATCTCTGCAGTCCCCTTGGAATGTTGAAGTCTTTACATCCTTTTAAATAAAGCTTTTTTCCTCTTCTTTTCCCAAGGTCTCTTAAAAAAATGGTACCAATATCATTACATTCCTACTTTTGCCCTACATACACACATACACACACACACACACACACACACACACACATATACACACAACAGTCTCATTCTTAGAGGAAGAAATAATGAACAGGGTATTTGAATAAGCAGCTAATTAACTGCATTCAGCCTACACTACTATCAGCTTTCTATTCAGCTTAATGTATATTTCTTTACCTATGTAATCAAGAACTACACCTTGGGCTATCAACACCTCAGCCCAAATAATCAAAGCAGCTCCTGGTTAATAAAGAAACAATATGCAAGCAAAGTGAATCTATATTCTTATGAATTTATGTATGGCTCAAAGTTCTTAGATATTCTTTCTGTGAATTTCTGATTCTATCATCATTGTTAAAAATTTGTGAAATATTCATGAACAGTTTCTTATGCCAGTTTACACTATTAACACAAACATTTACTTAATAAACCTTTTATCTAAGTATAAAAGAGTCTTCATCATAAAATATAACAAAGTAGCACATGTGGCAGAATCACAGGAAACATGTTATCTCCTAAAAGGGTATCTTTTAAAAAGTTCAAATACAGTATAACTATTAAAATGGCTGTTTCAGCCATCTGAATGTTTTCACAGGAGAAATCTGTAAATCTGTATTTGTTTTACAAATATATTTCACATTGATTACCAGATCATTATCAGTCTGGAAGGAATTGTTGTTTTTCCAAATTTCAATAAATAGGAAATGATCCTTGAGGAATAAATACATAATAAAATACAAAGCAGAATTGCCTTGTTTTCCAGCTGCAAAATTGCTAATCTGTGACCCCGGTTTACATCACCACAATTCTGAAGGGGAGAATTAGGTTATGAATGAATGTGGCTGAGAAATAGAGGTTGAAGAGAAAGGATATGACACTTCTCAATCAAGCCCAGGGTGTTATGAAAATGCATAATGTAGTGTGAGGTCCTTCCTAATAAACCAGTGACCAGTACAACTGAAATACATACACCAGGGCCCATGGTTGGAGGCCAGGCAAAATAGTCATGAAGAAATTATCTTCTTAGGTAAACATCACATTGCAGATTATATTTATGTGTTTTTACTGGAGTTGATAATAGACTAAGGTGTATGCACATTGTAAACACTCAGGATATGCAATTATTTAAACGTGACATTCTGTGCTCCAGGGAAATAGAACAGTTACGTGAAGGTAAAAATCGGGAAAATGTACTGATTTTTAAAAAGTTTAAAAAGTTTAAAACTTCACCAACTTTTGTTTTATACTAGTGTAGTACTAAGATTTTAAATTAAAAAAAATTAATGATCAAGATAGCGATGCTATAATATAACAAAATCAACCCTTGTGGTTTCAAAGTGATTCAATATCTCTGTTAGCCACACAGCATTTTAAAAGTAGAAAGATTTATTGCTTTGGGACAAACATAACAGACTGTAAACCAAGCTACCATAACAACTATAAAAACTTATCTTGCGATTCTCTACCTCTAGGCTCACCTCTGCCCAAGGAAGTTCTGAAAACCTTTCTATTCAATCAATAGACTACGTTTTGAAACATTTATCACACCTTGTGCTAAAGGTAGCTTAACTATTGCAGTGAAGTGCCTAGACAGTTGGTTTGTCTTAACTTGTAGTAATAAGAACAAAGGAAATTTTGATTCACTCGGTCGGGATGAAATGTATCCATATCATAGCAATATTAGGACCTTTTAATCGTCTTTCCATAAGAAAAGATTAAAATGCCTTAGTTATGGGAGATTAAATGCTCATTCAGTAATTGCAATGGACAGTATGCTTTCAGAGTGGGAGAATTAAATTAAAAGAAAGACAACTCTGGAAAATGTACTAGTGGTAGAATTAGAGAATGTTTCATCAGATCCTGATGCCTCTACAGTAATGAATCTGCCAAAAGATAATAATATTTTAGTGAAAGGTGTGATTGGATAAGTCACATTATTTATTAACTGTTACCCTAAAATATCACTTTTGTCTTATTATTAAGAATGGTTAGAGGACAGCAGGGATGCCTGACACAAGGCATTAAAAATGGATTGTGTCTATCAGAAATCCTGGAAGACGTGATCTGCCACACTCTGTGCGTGGTGATGGAACTTGCTAAGACCTGATGGCCGGGCATTCACAGCCCACAACTAGAAAGGTCTCAGTCAAGTCCCCAAGATCAGCCAGTTGTCACTTGATCTTTTTCAACGGCCTAAATAAGAACTGGTCTTTAATTTCTAATTTGCTTTTTGAAGAATTTCAAATAGATATAGGTGTTTAAGAAGATGGCTAGAGACCAGGGAAGATGAAGGTTATGACTGATAGCAAAGTGTCCTCAAGCTATCTCCAGAGGTTACTGGCATTCTTCTGCCTTTATTAGGAAATAATTATTTCCCTGTTTTCATGACCAGTTTAATTTAACTACTCATATTCATTCCCAAGGAGTGTATGTAATATGGATTATGATGTGAAAATAGATGTCACCAAAGAACAAAAGAATATACACTGCTTCAAGCAAAGCAGGCATGAAGGCTAAGGAAGCAAATGGCAATCCAGGGTCTTAGGTTTCTGAGAGCTTGGAATTAATGCCCTGAATGGTGATATTAATCATAAGTCTAAAACAGTTCTGATAAATTGATAGGCATTTAGTTGGTCACCATTAAAAAAAAAAGCTGGAGGAGAAGTAAGGAAAAATATAAGATGGAAATAGAGTGGTAAGGCCAGGCATGATGGCTCATGTCTGTAATCCCAGCACTTTGGGAGGCCGAGGTGGACAGATTACTTGTAGTCAGAAGTTTGAGACCAGCCTGATCAACATGGTGAAACACAGTCTCTACTACAAATACAAAAATTAGCTAGGTACAGGTGAGCACCTGTAATATCAGCTACTCAAGAGGCTGAGGCAGGAGAATTGCTTGAACCCTGGAGGCGGAGGTTGCAGTGAGCTGAGATCGTGCCACTGCGCTCCAGCCAGGGTGACAGAGCAGAACTCCATCCACAAAAAAGAAGGAAGGAAGAAAGGAAGGAAGGGAGGGAGGGAGGGAGGGAGGGACTGAGGGGAGGGGGGAGGGAGGGGAGGGGGGAGGGAGGGAGGCAGAGAAGAAGGGAGGGAGGAGGGGAGGGGAAGGGAGGGGAGGGGAGAAGGAAGGGAGGGGAAGGGAAGGGAAGGGAGGGAGGGGAGGGGAAGGGAGGGGAGGGGAGGGGAGGGAAGGGAGAAAGGAAAGAAAGGAGAGAGAAAGAAAGAAAGAAAAAGAGAAAGAAAGAAAGAAAGAAAGAAAGGAAAGAAAGAAGAAAGGAAGGAAAGAAGGAAAGAAAGAAAGAAAAGAAAGAAAGAAAGAAAGAAAGAAAGAGAGAAAGAGAGAAAGAAAACCAAAAAGCTAACCACCCCAGGATATCCTTTCATGAAACAAAGAGTAGACATTATACCCACAGGAGACTTTCTAAGTGTGATGCCTCTTTCTCTAAGTCTCAAGTAGGGTTAATGTTAGCAGGAGAGAAACAGGTCCTTATGTACTGGGAAAATGATCTAAATTCTCAGTACATTTCTGTTTATACTCTTTGTGGATAATATAAACTTAAAAGTGAAACAAAACCTAAGGGATAGCAAGAAAGAAACCCCCTCCTAAGGTGAGCCCACACACAGGCAGGAACAGAGCTATGCTTGCTCCAGCTGTGCTAGCACACTGCTAGGACTGCTGAGACACTGCACAACGTCCACAACAGCACCCCGGTCAGGCTTCCTGAAACTGTTCGCATCAGAGTTTTGTCACTTTTCTTACAAAGACTTTGAAATGCAGCTCTAGCCCTCTTGGGTCAATAGAGCATATTTATTAATAGCATATCATTATTCTGGTTTTAGTTTTCTTCTTACTGATCATAATTTTACAATCTGGCCCATAACCTTGCCTACTAAATCCCTGCATATATAAAGTGCCAAATATTATTAAATAAAACTTTTTATTTAATTACACTATATTTACAAAATCCCACCGAAAGTCCACAATAGTGAAAAATTCAGTAAGTTAACTGATTATTTCATATAAAACAAACCCGCAAAAGTTAGCCTTCTTCCCCTAACACCCATGCAATGACTTGGCTTTTTGTTGAGTTGCCTGACTTAGTTGTTTCCTAACACATTCTGCTTCCAGATCAGGTGTTCCCAATATTTTCTACATAAAAGTCCAATTTAATGATTATCCATGCCCCACATTCTTTCAAAAAGTTTGTCTACCAAACTGCCTTTATGAGGAAATAATTATTTCCCTGATTTTTGTTTTTTAAAATGGCAGCAATTGAAATTGCTACAAAACAGTTAATAGCAATGGGAATCAGATGAAAGCAGCTTCTCCAACACTGAGCACAAGGTCAGCTACATACTTTCTAGGGCCTAGGGTAAAATGACAACATGAAGCCTTGTTTCAAACAGCAGGAAAAAAAAAAAAGCTTTTTTTTTTTCTTGTACCTTTCTTCTGAGCTATCATGGTATTTTTAAATTGTTATTTAATGTGGTATTGCGGGCACAGTGGTAATTGCCAGGTGAGTGTGGACGACTCTGTGTGAGGTTCATGCACCTGCTCTTGCCCCTCCCCATGCCATATCCAGACCTGTGGATGAAGTGAGAAGTCAGCAGCCTAGAACTCATTCTGGGGAGCAGGAGGCTGAAGGCAGCAAGAGGCAGTCACCAGCACACACTTGAGTCCCACCTGATTTTATTTACAAAACACAAATTCAAAGACAAAATTATAAGAAATTCAAAGTAGTGATCATAGCACCTTCAACCCCTTCTCACCCTAGGTGACCTCACGTTCCACATACCCCATCTCAGATCCTAAGTGTTAGTTTGACTTATGCAGTGATATGACTGCCATTGATGTTAGTCTCACAGTGTATTTTTTTATAAATGTATAACATTACTAAATAGACTTGTGAAATGTTGAAAGTTATTAGTTAATATTTGAATACCTTCAAGGAATCCAAAGTCCTAAAGGCCTAGGTAGAGAAAATAAAATTATCATTCCAAATATTACCACTAACTGCTAATATCTATTAGGTCCTATTTTGGGTGTCAGGCAATTGCTTTCATTGCCCCTTTAGTAGGAACCTCTATTTGACATTTCCTCATTCTTCTAGAGCAGCATCATTCAACAACATTGTCACTGGTTGAATGAGGTTATTTTGCTCCCTTGAAAGGTGGCTACTCTGAATTGAGATGTGCTAAAAAGTAGAGGGTACATACTGATTCAAAAAAAGGAATATAAAATTTCATTATATATATATGTGTATATATATACATACACACACACACACACACACATCTATAGATAGAGAGAGAGAGACAGAGACAGAGAGAGAGAGAGACAGAGTTTTGCTGTGTCACACAGGCTGGAGTCCAGTGGCATAATCTCAGCTCACTGCAATCTCTGCCTCCTGGGTTCAAGTGATTCTCATGCCTCAGCCTCCCAAGCAGCTGGGATTACAGGCACACACCACCACGCCAGGCTAATTTTTTTTTGTATTTGTAGTAGAGATGGGGTTTTGCTATGTTGGCCAGGCTGGTCTCAAACTCCTGACCTCAAATGATCTGCCCACCTCAGCCTCCCAAAGTGCTGAGATTACAGGCAGGAGCCACCACTCCCAGCCTATATATAATTTTTAAAATATTGATTACTTGTTGAAATGATCATATTTGGGATATTGATTAAATAACACATATTATTGCAGTTAGTTACATCTCTTTATTTTCATTTTTTTAAATGGTTACTTGAAAATTTTAAATTGCATGTGTGGCCCAAATCTGTGGCTCACATGATATTTTATATATTATAGAGCCGTCACCTTCTGCTGTTATTATCCCGAATACACATCCCCAAGAATAGCATAATCTATCCTTGTCCATGATGCCCTTCTGTCTTCTTTTGATTGTCCAAGATTTTGCTCTGGTTCTTGAAGGACTAAATAAATGCACCTCAAAAATAATAGAAAGAAAATTGGACTGGAATCGGGGGATCTGGAGTATGGTTCTTACTATTTCACTGAGATGGCTTGACCTCATTTTCTATAAATAAAAAATGAAATTGAACCAGATTATCACTTGGGTCCCTTCCAGCCCTAACTTGACTGTCTTTCACTGCATATGGAGAAGCACACTTCTGCAATCAGTAAAGTCACGTTGAACTTTTACTAGAAGAACTTCCAACAATACCCAACTCCCCAAAACTGACTCAGAGCTTTAAAAACTAAGAATTAGCATGTACATTAATACCACTCCTCAGATTAGCTATTAATTAGAAAGGAGGTAATGCATCTTTACAATGGAGAGATCTGTCAATCACCCTCTGGACAAGAAAGACGACGAACTGGGTGAGCATCGCGCCAGTCAGGAGTCAACCTGGCATCACGTGCCTCCCAATGTGGAGAAGAGAGCACCCCCCAAAAGAACAGGAGTAGTGCTTTCCTCAGAAAGGTTTGTCCTGCATCTAATAAGGAGGAATGTGTCACATTCAGAATGTGGTACATCCTGCAGGACGTATCAAAGCCTTCCACATCTTGAAGAGCACAGAGTAGGCTTAGGGATATGTTCAAGATTCGGAAAGAGCACAAAAATTCAGCAGTCAAATGTAATGAATGAGTCTCAATTAGATCCTGAATCAAAAAACAATTCAAATAAAAAGTTATAAAGGCACTCAATCAGACTTTAAAAAGGAGGAAATCTTGCCACTTGCAACAACACGGATAAACCTGGAGGACACTATGCTAAACGAAACAAGTCAGTTACAAAAGGACAAATACCACATGATCCCACTTAGGTGAGGAATCTAAAATAGTCAAACTCATAGTAGCAGAGAGTAGGAGGGTGGCTGCCAGGGTTTAGTGGGGAGAAGGGGATGGGGTGTTTTTGGTCAAAGCATACAAAGTTTTAGTAATTCAAGATGAATAAGTCCTAGAGATCTACTTTACAGCATAGTACTTACAGAAACAAAAAAGTTTACTGAGAAGGTGGATCTGATGTTAAGTGTTCTGATCACCAAATCGTATCAATAATAATACATAAAAAGGCCAGGAAGGATCTTGTGGAAGCGATAATATGTTTTTGGTAGAGATAGTGGTGATCGTTTCACAGATGTGTGCCTATCTCCAAACTCACCAGGTTGTATATGTTAAATATGTATGCATTTTTTGTATGTCAATTAGACCTCAATAAGTGGTTTCAAAAAAGATATTTGAGAACAACTGAGAAATTTGAGTATGGATTGTGTGTTAGATCTCATTTTTACATCAGAGACTTCCCTGAGTGTAGACATGGTGAAGTGGTTACACAGGCTAATTCTGGTAACAGTAGGGTGATATGTCATCATATCTGTGAGCTACTTATGAACAGTTTGACAAAAGAGGAGAAAGAGCGTGAGAAAGAGAATAGATATGACCACTTGCTAAGAGTTGGTGAATCTGAATCTAGCTGGGGGACATAAAGATGTTCATTGTATTATCCTTTCAACTTTTCTGTGAGTTGGAATATTTTCAAAATTAAAAAAAATTCAACTAATAAGTAATTTCTTCAAGAACATTAATAAAACTTGCATAGAATTAATATGCATTGTGTTTACCTTTGCATAACATTTCGTCATTATGGAATTATTATTTTTATAAAACAGACTGTCTTTAATTACATTGTATTTGCTCTTCTCAGTTTTTACTTCAGTCCGACAATGTCTACACTGGCTGGCACATGTATGAGCCCACTAGGGATTGCTAATGCATCATGAAAAAAAAAATCATTTGTTTTATTAAGACCAAAGTGGATGTTTCTTAAACGTACATTTATTTTAAGGATAGAACATTCTTGGGCACATTTGCCAAATGTTTGTTTTCAGGAAGTTGTCAAATATTTCTTTTAGAGGTCAATTTGCCATGGGTGATTTTTTTTCTATTTACTATCTACCCATTCCTTTCCCTACTTTTTTTAATGTTATCTTTCAACAGAATTTTTTATTCAGTTATATTTGTATAAACTCCAAATACATTATGTAGCTATTCTTTCCCTGTCTTATTGTTTATTTCACAGATAATGAAGCTAAATTGGATATAAATCAAGTCACATGAGCTAAAACTTGCCATGTCATTATGTCATTAGTATCATGCTCTATACAGAATAATTGACAGGATGTGAGTAAACATGCTACAAGGTCCATGTCATTCACAGGGTGAATGGGATTGACACCTGGACCACAGTTAGAAGTCACAGATTGTTAATCAATATGTAAAATATGCAGGCAAATTTTTGCTCGATTGGTAATCAATATGTAAAATATGCAGGCATATTTTTGCTCGAAATTCTTCTCCTAGAATCAATTCCCAACTTCTTCCCCTGGCATCAGGTCACTCAACCACTGGCTGCAGTCTCCCTATCCAGCATTACTCCCTCTTCCTCACTTCATTTAAAACACCGTCCTCTCAGATCAGTCTTTGGAACTTCCTGCTTTGCTGGGCATGCACTCTTTTCTCTCCATCAAACACTGGTCTCACTGTCCTCTCCTGCAATATCTCATCCTAAGAGATCCAGTTCAAATGACATGTTCTTTACCTTCTTATTTTGGAAGCAGCCTGTGATTGGTCTCATTTTTTCTTCCAGACCACCTACTTCCCTGTTTCATTTTCTTATATCAGCCACCCCATTCTGGTTTGTTTTTCCTATGTTCTCATCTAAATAAAGGCAGAGACCAAAACTTACTCATCTTTCCTAAAACTGCACCATACTTTACACATAGTACTTATTCATTAACTATTTGCATTTAAATATATAAAAGATGTTTATAGCTTAATTAACTCCCCTCAAAAATTTTTTTAAGCATTTTAAAAAATACATAAACCCATGGCTCCAAGAAGTTCCGTCAATCAGAGTGCTAGTTTATCAGATTAGGAAGTCTAAGCATTTGGGCAGCTGAGTTGGTCCCTAGGAATGCCTAGAAACCAGAATTCTGTAGGGCCCTATCACATGACCACTCTGATCCATCCTGGGTTCCTCCCCCAGCTACAAAACATGAGCCCTCAACACTGCATTGTCTCAGTTCTGTGAAAGCAGACACCAAGATGGTACAAGACATGCAAGAGATTTCTTAGGGAAAAAAAAAAGCATAAGAGGGGAATGAGGAGGGAGGGAACCAGACAAGGCTGAGAGGACTCACAGACCACAATGAAGCTGTGACAAAGGGAAGGAAGTTGTGATGAGACCAGAGTCACAAAGAACACCTCAGAAGGGTTTCTTCACATAACAAAATCATTTAAACCAAGGGTGTCCAATCTCTTGGCTTCCCTGGGCCACACTGGAAGAAGAATTGTTTGGAACCACACATAAAATACACTAACAATAGCTGATGAACTAAAAAAAATGTAAAAAACAACTCATAATGTTTTAAGGAAGTTTATGAATTTGTGTTGGGCTGCATTCAAAGCTGTCCTGGGCCACATGCGGCCCATGGGTCGTGGGTTGGACAAACTTGATTTAAACATTTAAACTTTTCTCAAATTGGACCAAGTAAATAATGACATGAGAAAAATAAAATATTTGTACATAAGATATTAAATCAAGCCCGGGTATAATTGTGTAACAGCATGTGATGGATAATTTTAAGTGGCAACCTGGTTAAGGTATGGTGCCCAGCTATTTGGTAAAACATCAGTCTAGATGTGGCTCTGAAGTTGGTTTGTGTGTGTGTGGCCTTTATGTAGGTTAACATTCAAATCAGTAGACTTTGAGTAAAGTAGTTTACCCCCCATAATATGGCTGAGCCTCATCCAATCAGCTGAAGAAGAAAAAGCACTGAAGTCCCCTGAGAAAGAGGGAATACATCCTATCTTATGGATTTTGTCTCTCTGGAGAACCCAGACTAATACAGTGAAAGAGAGGGTTTTATCAGAAAATGAGCCTAGAAGCTGGCAGCCAAGATGGCCAAATAGGAACAGCTCTGGTCTACAGCTCCCAGTGTGAGCGATGCAGAAGATGGGTGATTTCTGCATTTCCATCTGAGGTACTGGGTTCATCTCACTAGGGAGTGACAGACAGTGGGCACAGGACAGTGGGTGCAGCGCACCGTGCGAGAGCCGAAACAGGGCGAGGCATTGCCTGACTCAGGAAGGGCAAGGGGTCAGGGACTTCCCTTTCCTAGTCAAAGAAAGGGGTGACAGATGGCACCTGGAAAACCGGGTCACTCCCACCCTAATACTGCGCTTTTCTGACGGGCTTAAAAAACGGCACACCAGGAGATTATATCCCACACATGGCTTGGAGGGTCCTACGCCCACGGAGTCTCGCTGATTGCTAGCACAGCAGTCTGAGATCAAACTGCAAGGGGGCAGCGAGGCTGGGGGAGGGGCACGCGCCATTGCCCAGGCTCGCTTAGGTAAACAAAGCAGCCGGGAAGCTCGAACTGGGTGGAGCCCACCACAGCTCAAGGAGGCCTGCCTGCCTGTGTAGGCTCCACCTCTGGGGGCAGGGCACAGATAAACAAAAAGACAGCAGTAACCTCTGCAGACTTAAATGTCCCTGTCTGACAGCTTTGAAGAGAGCAGTGGTTCTCCCAGCATGCAGCTGGAGATCTGAGAATGGGCAGACTGCCTCCTCAAGTGGGTCCCTGACCCCTGACCCCCGAGCAGCCTAACGGGGAGGCACCCCCCAGTAGGGGCAGACTGACACCTCACACGGCCAGGTACTCCTCTGAGACAAAACTTCCAGAGGAACGATCAGACAGCAGCATTCGCGGTTCACGAAAATCCGCTGTTCTGCAGCCACTGCTGCTGATACCCAGGCAAACAGGGTCTGGAGTGGACCTCTAGCAATCTCCAACAGACCTGCAGCTGAGGGTCCTGTCTGCTAGAAGGAAAACCAACAAACAGAAAGGACATGCACACCAAAAACCCATCTGTACATCACCACCATCAAAGACCAAAAGTAGATAAAACCACAAAGATGGGGAAAAAACAGAGCAGAAAAACTGGAAACTCTAAAAAGCTGAGCGCCTCTCCTCCTCCAAAGGAATGCAGTTCCTCACCAGCAACAGAAAAAAGCTAGATGGAGAATGACTTTGACGAGTTGAGAGAAGAAGGCTTCAGACGATAAACTACTCCAAGCTACAGAAGGAAATTCAAACCAAAGGCAAAGAAGTTAAAAACTTTGAAAAAAATTTGGATGAATGTATAACTAGAATAACCAATACAGAGAAGTGCTTAAAGGAGCTGATGGAGCTGAAAGCCAAGGCTCGAGAACTATGTGAAGAATGCAGAAGCCTCAGGAGCCGATGTGATCAACTGGAAGAAAGGGTATCAGTGATGGAAGATGAAATGAATGAAATGAAGCGAGAAGGGAAGTTTAGAGAAAAAAGAATAAAAAGAAACGAACAAAGCCTCCAAGAAATATGGGACTATGTGAAAAGACCAAATCTACATCTGATTGGTGTACCTGAAAGTGACAGGGAGAATGGAACCAAATTGGAAAACACTCTGCAGGATATTATCCAGGAGAACTTCCCCAATCTAGCAAGGCAGACCAACATTCAGATTCAGGAAATACAGAGAACGCCACAAAGATACTCCTCGAGACGAGCAACTCCAAGACACATAATTGTCAGATTCACCAAAGTTGAAATGAAGGAAAATATGTTAAGGGCAGCCAGAGAGAAAGGTCGGTTACCCACAAAGGGAAGCCCATCAGACTAACAGCAGATCTCTTGGCAGAAACTCTACAAGCCAGAAGAGAGTGGGGGCCAATATTCAACATTCTTAAAGAAAAGAATTTTCAACCCAGAATTTCATATCCAGCCAAACTAAGCTTCATAAGTGAAGGAGAAATAAAATACTTTACGGACAAGCAAATGCTGAGAGATTTTGTCACCACCAGGCCTGCCCTAAAAGAGCTCCTGAAGGAAGCACTAAACATGGAAAGGAACAACCGGTACCAGTCACTGCAAAACCATGCCAAAATGTAAAGACCATCGAGGCTAGGAAGAAACTGCATCAACTAACGAGCAAAATAACCAGCTAACATCATAATGACAGGATGAAATTCACACATAACCATATTAACTTTAAATGTAAATGGACTAAATGCTCCAATTAAAAGACACAGACTGGCAAATTGGATAAAGAGTCAAGACCCATCCGTGTGCTGTATTCAGGAAACCCATCTCACGTGCAGAGACACACATAGGCTCAAAATAAAAGGATGGAGGAAGATCTACCAAGCAAATGGAAAACAAAAAAAGGCAGGGGTTGCAATCCTAGTCTCTGATAAAACAGACTTCAAGCCAACAAAGATCAAAAGAGACAAAGAAGGCCATTACATAATGGTAAGGGGATCAATTCAACAAGAAGAACTAACTATCCTAAATATATATGCACCCAATACAGGAGCACCCAGATTCATAAAGCAAGTCCTGAGTGACCTACAAAGAGACTTAGACTCCCACACAATAAGAATGGGAGACTTTAACACCCCACTGTCAACATTAGACAGATCATCGAGACAGAAAGTTAACAAGGATACCCAGGAATTGAACTCAACTCTGCACCATGCGGACCTAATAGACATCTACAGAACTCTCCACCCGAAATCAACTGAATATACATTTTTTTCAGCACCACACCACACCTATTCCAAAATTGACCACGTAGTTGGAAGTAAAGCTCTCCTCAGCAAATGTAAAAGAACAGAAATTATAACAAACTGTCTCTCAGACCACAGTGCTATCAAACCAGAACTCAGGATTAAGAAACTCACTCAAAACCGCTCAACTACATGGAAACTGAATAACCTGCTCCTGAATGACTACTGGGTGCATAACAAAATGAAGGCAGAAATAAAGATGTTCTTTGAAACCAACGAGAACAAAGACACAACATACCAGAATCTCTGGGACACATTCAAAGCAGTGAGTAGAGGGAAATTTATAGCACTAAATGCCCACAAGAGAAAGCAGAAAAGATGCAAAATTGACACCCTAGCATCACAATTAAAAGAAGTAGAAAAGCAAGAGCAAACACATTCAAAAGCTAGCAGAAGGCAAGAAATAACTAAAATAAGAGCAGAACTGAAGGAAATAGAGACACAAAAAACCCTTCAAAAAATTAATGAATCCAGGAGCTGGTTTCTTGAAAGGATCAACAAAATTGATAGACCACTAGCAAGACTAATAAAGAAGAAAAGAGAGAAGAATCAAATAGATGTAATAAAAAATGATAAAGGGGATATCACCACTGATCCCACAGAAATACAAACTACCATCAGAGAATACTACAAACACCTCTACGCAAATAAACTAGAAAATCTAGAAGAACTGGATAAATTCCTCGACACACACACCCTCCAAAGACTAAACCAGGAAGAAGTTGAATCCCTGAATAGACCAATAACAGGCTCTGAAATTGTGGCAATAATCAATAGCTTACCAACCAAAAAGAGTCCAGGACCAGATGGATCCACAGCCGAATTCTACCAGAGGTACAAGGAGGAGCTGTTACCATTCCTTCTTAAATTATTCCAATCAATAGAAAAAGAGGGAATCCTCCCTAACTCATTTTATGAGGCCAGCATCATCCTGATACCAAAGCCGGGCAGAGACACAGCCAAAAAAGAGAATTTTAGACCAATATCCTTGATGAACATTGATGCAAAAATCCTCAATAAAATACTGGCAAACCAAATCCAGCAGCACATCAAAAAGCTTATATACACCATGATCAAGTGGGCTTCATCCCTGGGATGCAAGGCTGGTTCAATATATGCAAATCAATAAATGTAATCCAGCATATAAACAGAACTAAAGACAAAAACCACATGATTATCTCAATAGATGCAGAAAAGGCCTTTGACAAAATTCAATAACCCTTCATGCTAAAAACTCTCAATAAATTAGGTATTGATGGGACGTATCTCAAAATAATAAGAGCTATCTATGACAAACCCACAGCCAATATCATACTGAATGGGCAAAAACTGGAAGCATTCCCTTTGAAAACTGGCACAAGACAGGGATGCCCTCTCTCACCACTCCTATTCAACATAGTGTTGGAAGTTCTGGCCAGGGCAATTAGGCAGGAGAAGGAAATAAAGGGTATTCAATTAGGAAAAGAGGAAGTCAAATTGTCCCTGTTTGCAGATGACATGATTGTATATCTAGAAAACCCCATCGTCTCAGCCCAAAATCTCCTTAAGCTGATAAGCAACTTCAGTAAAGTCTCAGGATACAAAATCAATGTACAAAAATCACAAGCATTCTTATACACCAATAACAGACAAACAGAGAGCCAAATCATGAGTGAAATCCCATTCACAATTGTTTCAAAGAGAATAAAATACCTAGGAATCCAACTTACAAGGGACATGAAGGACCTCTTCAAGGAGAACTACAAACCACTGCTCAATGAAATAAAAGAGGATACAAACAAATGGAAGAACATTCCATGCTCATGGCTAGGAAGAATCAATATGGTGAAAATGGCCATACTGCCCAAGGTAATTTATAGATTCAATGCCATCCTCATCAAGCTAGCAATGACTTTCTTCACAGAATCGGAAAAAACTACTTTAAAGTTCATATGGAACCAAAAAAGAGCCTGCATCGCCAAGTCAATCCTAAGCCAAAAGAACAAAGTCATAGGCATCACGCTACCTGACTTCAAACTATACTACAAGGCTATAGTCAACAAAACAGCATGGTACTGGTACCAAAACAGAGATATAGATCAATGGAACAGAACAGAGCCCTCAGAAATAACACCGCATATCTACAACTATCTGATCTTTGACAAACCTGAGAAAAACAAGCAATGGGGAAAGGATTCCCTATTTAATAAATGGTGCTGGGAAAACTGGCTAGCCATATGTAGAAAGCTGAAACTGGATCCCTTCCTTACACCTTATACAAAAATTAATTCAAGATGGATTAAAGACTTCCATGTTAGACCTAAAACCATAAAAACCCTAGAAGAAAACCTAGGCATTACCATTCAGGACATAGGCATGGACAAGGACTTCATGTCTAAAACACCAAAAGCAATGGCAACAAAAGCCAAAATTGACAAATGGGATCTAATCAAACTAAAGAGCTTCTGCAGAGCAAAAGAAACTACCATCAGAGTGAACAGGCCACCTACAGAATGGGAGAAAATTTTCGTAACCTACTCATCTGACAAAGGGCTAATATCCAGAATCTACAATGAACTCAAACAAATTTACAAGAAAAAAACAAACAACCCCATCAAAAAGTGGGCAAAGGACATGAACAGACACTTCTCAAAAGAATACATTTATGCAGCCAAAAGAGACATGAAAAAATGCTCATCATCACTGGCCATCAGAGAAATGCAAATCAAAACCACAATGAGATACCATCTCACACCAGTTAGAATGGTGATCATTAAAAAGTCAGGAAACAACAGGTGCTGGAGAGGATGTGGAGAAATAGGAACACTTTTACACTGTTGGTGGGACTGTAAACTAGTTCATCCATTGTGGAAGTCAGTGTGGCGATTCCTCAGGGATCTAGAACTAGAAATACCATTTGACCCAGCCATCCTATTACTGGGTATATACCCAAAGGATTATAAATCATGCTGCTATAAAGACACATGCACACGTATGTTTATTGCGGCATTATTCACAATAGCAAAGACTTGGAACCAACCCAAATGTCCAACAATGATAGACTGGATTAAGAAAATGTGGCACATATACACCATGGAATACTATGCAGCCATAAAAAATGATGAGTTCATGTCCTTTGTAGGGACATGGATGAAATTGGAAATCATCATTCTCAGTAAACTATCGCAGGGACAGAAAACCAAACACTGCATGTTCTCACTCATAGATGGGAATTGAACAATGAGAACACATGGACACAGGAAGGGGAACATCACACTCTGGGGACTGTTGTGGGGTGGGGGGAGTGGGGAGGGATAGCATTAGGAGATATACCTAATGCTAAATGACAAGTTAATGGGTGCAGCACACCAGCATGTCACATGTATACATATGTAACTAACCTGCACATTGTCCACATGTACCCTAAAATTTAAAGTATAATAATAATAAAAGAAAAGAAAAGAAAAAAAGAAAAGAAATAAAACAGATACATTGAAGTGGGTTTCTTATTACATCAACTTGAAGCATTTATTTAAATTTTGTCTACCCAGTATAACCAAATTGATTATTTTAATTAAACAACTTATTAAAAAATTAAAAGTTGTCCAAATGCTTGAGTTAAAAAAAAAAAAAAGAAAATGAGCCTAGTACCTAAAAGACTTCTCTTCCAAAATTGGTGTGCTGGTCTTTAAATAATCCTTATATCTTTTTTAAGTATATGTTTACATTTGTTTACTTTTATGTTACATGAGACACACTTCACAAGCAATTCACACAAAGCTCTGGGAGGTGGATACTTATTATAAGTGTGCCTGGGATTTGTTCACTGTCACAGAGCGAGCACTTTTTGAGTGTATAAAGCTTACTAATTATCACATATCTTGCTACATTACAGTTAAATTATTTAGCCATTTCTACAATGTGACTGTAACCCAGTTACAGGAAGAGGTTTGTGTACTCTCCAGTGACTCTTAGCAGGAAGCTGCCTATGCAAGTACAAAATGGGTGGAATGATGGTCTTTAGCTGATAGCAGAAATGGACAGTCGGCCTTCACCAACCCACCCTACCTTGTGTCTCATACACAGCAAGTTTTAAAGATTTCCAGGAAACATATCTTACCAACTTCCTTAGTAACTAATTCCGGAAGAAATGAAGAAATCCACCTGCAAGCTAGAAATGAAATCCGCTTGATGGCACAGAATATTCAAGTGAGTTTCTAACTCAGTTAACAATATGATAAAACCAAATATATGCACATGCAAAATTATTAAAGATTTGTTTATGTGAGACTCTGATATTTGCCATGAAAATTTCTACCATTAAAATTTGATTAAAAATATAGAAATATTTTCCCCCTTTCAAAATCAGTTTCAAGAAACCCTTGATAGAATCAGCTCATTAATTCTTGGCCCCTTTAACTAATACCACATTTGAAGTCACATGTTATAAATCAGTTTCAGTTGAGATATTAAAATCAGATTATAAGAGAAAAGCCTTGTAAATATTTGCCTCCAAATGAGTTTAAGAATAAATATATATTCAGTAATTCATCCATATTTAGCAGACATTAATAAGACAAAGCATAGCTTTAAGTTCACTTATCATTTAATACAAAGAAGGGACTAGGAAACTGCGCCTGATTTGCTTGTTTATTCTTGGGCTTGGTAATACCTTATTAAAATTTGAACTTCAAAATTGATATAATCAGTCAAATGTCAGCAGAAATATTTATTCTGTAAATGAAGCTTTAGTTAATAGAACTTTAATTTGAAGTACTTTCTATTTTCTTCTCCTCCATAAGAGAAAAGGAAAGGAAGTATACAGGAAAGTTGGATAGAAATAACACAGAGGTTTGAATTTTCCTTCAGGTCTGTGCCAACACTAGAGGTCAGCAACTTTCCAGAAATGACATGTCAAGTCTTCACTTATTGTAATTTACTTTATTTTTATTTTTTTACATTGGAAGAACCGCAGAATTTTAGGTCAAAAAACAGTCTTACTAATGTCCTAATTTGCTGTCTTTTTAGAGGTAAAGTGCTGCTGAGGTGTCAGGACTTGGCTAGTTTCACAGTTACGCTGAGATAGAAGTAAACTCAAGCCCCCATGAGCTGCATAGGGTTAGGAACCTCCACAGTTAGGAAACTCATGGCCCCCAAGAGCGACAGAAATGAGGTGTTATTAATTGTGGATAATTGTGTGGACTGATGTTGTCAGAAGGGACAGGGGAAGGAGAGAAGAGTGGTTGGAAGCTTTGACAAATCTTGGCTCCTGAAGAAGACAAGGGATGAAAAATTTATAAAATGTACCAACAGCTGAAAGGTGCCAACTTCAAAGGTCTTCTTTCTGGACCTCTTCTCCACGTGGATCCCAGGACTTGGACCCTTGCTTCATTTCTTTACAAACCCCAAATTCTTTTCAAACCCCAAATTAAATTCCCACAGAGAAAATTGCTCCAATTTCTAATTAACCTGGACTTTTACTAGGTTCATTGCCCTCAAAATCACTCTTGGCCTCAACGTCATCACTTGCCAGCCCTGACCCACGCTCTGTATGGCAGGTTTCATTTGGATCATGTGACCCCCACCACCTCCGTTGTGGTGCAGCCTCTCAGAAATGATCATCAACAAGGGGAAATGAAGAGGAATGGCTAAGCTTGGGCGTTGGGAAGCCAAAGTCTTTCTGAATCTCTGGCCTGCCAGGAGCTAGGTAATTTTAGGCAACTTAGTAAGCTTCTCTAAACCTCAGTTTTCTCATTTTTACAATGGAAATTATAATTATACCAGTCTCATGGGTTTTTATATGCATTAAATAAGATGTGTGTGGCCAGGTGCAGTGGCTCATGCCTGTAATCCCAGCACTTTGGGAGACCGAGGCGGGTGGATCGCCTGAGGTCAGGAGTTTGAGACCAGCCTGGCCAACATGGTGAAACCCTGTCTCTACTAAAAATACAAAAATTAGCCAGGCGTGGTGGCGGATGCCTGTAATCCCAGCTACTTGGGAGGCTGAGGCAGGAGAATCGCTTGAACCTGGGAGGTGGAAGTTGCACTGAGCCGAGACTGCGCCATTGCACTCTAGCCTGGGCAACAATAGCAAGACTTCATCTCAAAAAAAAAAAAAGATTTGTGTATATATCCCAGCTTGTTTGTATGTGAAAGGAATTTGGCCCAAACTTTCTTATTAAAAAAATAAAATAGGCTTAGGGTGAGGAGGAAATATCTGGACATTTAGCTGCCAGGAGGGGAAGATGCCTGTGCCTGGCCATGTCTTGACAGTTCTCCAATCTGCCTTTCCTCCTGCAGGTGCCTTTCTCCAAAAAAAACAATGAGGGCAAGTGACAGAGAGTCCTGATTTGGTGTAGGTCTGTGCTTGGCACATGATAAGGGTTCAGTAAATGTCACCCATCTTTACTGTTGCTGTCATCATTATCATAAGTCACACTGACCTGTGTCTTGCTGACATAACACACTGCCATGTTTTTTGCTAAAGAAGGGATCAAAGCTCATGGAAGTGAAGAAATGTGTCCTGATGATTTGGATGGTGTATTCATGCTTACACCATTCTCAATTCTCCCATCATGGCCCAGGCCTACACCCTGGTTTTATTAATGCACGAGGCTCACCAGGAATGGCTCCAAAGATTTCTCTGTGCTGAAATGTGGATGTTACTGAAGACATTGAAATAAAATTGGCTACGATACTCAGATTGATGCTGACTCCAAAGATACCAAGATAATTGTTTGGCAATTTGTTTTAAGATGGAAAGGAAAATTGTATTCAATAACCAGGTTGTCTACAAGACATCAAATGACCAATTTCAATTTTTTTATTGAGAAAATCCACTTGATTTCAATATTTTCAGTACCACATAGACATGATCTCAGTACAGTGATTTTTGTAAAATTGGCCCCTGAATCTAGTCTAATTCAGGTTTGTAAAATGTCTATACTTTTTCTACAATGGGAAATGTTCAACATTAGCTACAGGATGCATTCAAACTTTTCCCTCCATTGGGTTTAGAATACCTATGACATTAGGGAGACAAAGACCCAACTGTTTCACTTATCTTGGAGAGGTTTAAATAGTTGTTTCTCCTCTGTCCTCCCTCCATCTGGTACTGTGTTTTGGAAATACAGAAGAAGAATATAAGTTTATGACTCTTGAAAAGGTCAATTAGAATATCAGCCTAAGTGAATATGTAAAACAACTTAAACACTCTAAATACCCCAAATTAAACATTTTGATGATAATTTTTAAAAGAAAATAGTCACTACCATAAGTAAATAAATCCAAATGAGCTAACATAAATAAACATTACTTTTCAATTGTGGAAGTGGGTAAACTGCACGTAAGGAAATTCAAGTGACGGGCAGCCATCCAGAATGACCCTTTCATAAGTTATGCTTTTTTGCATCAGAACTGACCACTTTCTCTCAAGTATCTTTCCTTTTTTTTTTCTGAGACATGCAGTGGGTCAGGAGAAGAGAAATACGTTAAAATAAAATTGTTAGCCTTACTCAACGTCCCTTCTTTTCCACCAAAAAATGTACAAATTGACTTCCAGTTTGGGTGAATTTGCATAAATTTTTCAAAGGTAGAAGGTTTTTCTGACCAAAATTTTTTAGTGTTTCTGTAGATCCTACATTTATTAACATCTATTATAGTTAATTTTGAGCCTCTCCTGTCTTTCAATAATACTGTCATTCAAACTTACTCAACTGAAGAGAAAAATTATGTTTGGATAGACACAATGTATTTGTTTGCCTTTGTAGCATCATTAATGAGAAAAACAAGAGATTATCTTGAAGCAAACCCATGATATTTTACAATAAGTACCATTTTTAATAAAACTCTTAAATCCCCTAAATCTCTGAGTATTCTATTGGCATTAGTACCAGGTATTATTTCACCCCTGTAAATCGGTATCTGACAAGCGTGACAGAAAGCCCATTGCAGCTACCATGTGCCTTTGGCCCACCTTTCCCCTTCTTCCTCTCTGGATCCCAGACAAATGTGCAGAGGTACACAAGGTACTAACAACTGAGAAGAAGAAATCTGTGGGCTACGGATGGAAGAAATCTGTGGGCTGTGGATAGAAGAGCAGGGAGCTAAGGATCACTTGGGTTCCCAGTGGCATCACTGAGCCTCCACACCAGGCCTAAACTGCCTATCCCCAGGCCCTCTGTTACTTGCAAAAGAGGCAACTTGAAGTTTTTTAAGGAATGATGGGTTTGATTTATCATAATACAATGTAAACTCATATATATATATATATATATATATATATATTTTTTTTTTTTTTTTTGAGATGGAGTCTCGCTCTGTCTCCCAGGCTGGAGTGCAGTGGCGCGATCTCGGCCCACTGCAAGCTCCGCCTCCCGGGCTCACGCCATTCTCCTGCCTCAGCCTCCCGAGTAGCTGGGACTACAGGCGCCCGCCACCACACCCGGCTAAATTTTTTTGTATTTTTAGTAGAGACGGGGTTTCACTGTGTTAGCCAGGATGGTCTGGATCTCCTGACCTCGTGATCTGCCCACCTCGGCCTCCCAAAGTGCTGGGATTACGGGCATGAGCCACTGCGCCCAGCCATAAACTCTTAAGATGATAAAACAAATACTACTATTTTTGGTTTAGTTTCTGCATTTAAATTATAAGTTTCTTGAGCGCAAAAGCCATATCTCACCTCTTTAGTACCTTTGCATAACAAAGTAATGTGATCAAAGCAAACATAATAATGATTAATAATAAGCATGAAATGAATGAAACTTCCTAGCCCACATTGGGCTTCATTGATACAACTTCTTGTGTTGAACGCAAACTTTAAAATAGATTATATGTTATCTATTGCTGCATAACACATTAACACAAAACTTAGTGAATATTTATTCACTAAACATGAATATTTATTATTATATGTTTTCTGTAAATGAGAACTCCAGGAGTGGCTTAGCTTGGAGACCCTCATGAGACTGCATTCATGGCTTTGGCCAGGGCTGCAGTCATCTCAAGGCTTGCCTAGGAGAGGATCTGCTTCTGAGCTCACTCATTTGGCTACTGGAAAGACTCCCAAGATCTGCACCCAAGACCATGCACATGGACCTCCCCAGGTGGCCTTCTCAAGACATGGGACATGGCAGCTGTCTTCCCCAGAGCAAGCAAAAAGTCAGAAAGAGAATGAGAGAGAGAGAGAAAATGCAAGACAGAAGCCGCTGTTATTGATAACCTCATTTCAGAAGTGGCTTCCCACCACTATTGCTGTATCCATTGATAATACATCACCAAGTCCTTCCAACAACATTAAACCCAGAGGACATACAAGGAGAAGGAATCACACCACTGCACGAGTCCAGGGGTCACTGGGGCCATCTTAGTGGGTACCTACCACACAAATGTAGATTTCAAACCTGTATAAACACACTTAATATATCACTCACTTACGTGAATCTTTATAGATTTTTAACAGTGAAGATCAACCAGAATCTATTCTTCATGATTCTCAGGGTTTTCTCTTAGTGACCTCTACTCAACTGAGAGAATTAAAAAACTATAGAGAAATACATTTCAGATATTTATCATCACAATGTTTTTCCAGAATCTAGCAAAATCTTTTTGGGTAATTCTGAGGTCCAGCACCAATGGCAACCTAAAGCCAGCAATGGCAGTGACTGTTCACTGTCCTGTCATATCTGCTTTTCTTCTTCCAACTTAACAGCATTGTTACCTGCACGTATTTTATGGTAGCTTCGGCAACCATAAAAAGAAAAATACATAAAAAATAAATAAAACACTGTTTGAATGGTTTACACAACAGGCATTTATTTTCTCACAGTTCTCAAGACCACAAGTCGTGATTGAGGTGCCAGCAAATTTGGTTTCTACTGAAGGTTCCCTTCAGGGCTTGTAGATACATTCTCACTCTGCCCCCACAAAGCCTTTCTGATCTTTATTTTTTTTAATTTAGTTCATTGTTGTTGTTGCTGCTGCTGCTGCTGTTGTCTTTGTTGTTGTTGTTGTTGTTGTTTTAAGAGACAGGCTCTCACTCTGGAGTGCAGTTGTACAATCATTGCTCATTGTAACCTCAAACTCCTGGGCTCAAGCAATCCTCCCACCTCAGCCTCCCTAGTAAGTAGAAGCACAGTGCCCAGCCCTCTCTCCCTTTAAAAACACCAATTATATTGTATAATGACTCCAATCTTATGACCCCATTTAACCTCAGTTACTTCCCCAAAGGCCTTATCCCCAAGTTGCTATCGCACTGGGGGTTAGGGCTTCAACATATGAATTGTGTCAGGGGAGGACACAATTCAGTGCATAACTGTACATGAGTGCTTAGTGTGAAGGCTACATTTCATAGCTTCTTTTGAAGTTAGGTCACTAAATTCTCATCAATGAGATGGAAAAGGAAGACTCGTGAGATAGTTTCTGGTCTTCTTTAAGAAACTGCACGCCTTCTTCCCTCTTTGCCTCCTTCTGTCCTTCCATCCTTCCTTCCTTCCTTCCTTTCTTCCTTCCTCTCTTCCTTCTTTCCTTCCTCCCCTTTCTTTCTTTTTAATGTAAAAAAAAAAAAAAACCAGCTCTTTGTTCTTTCTTCTTCATCCCTTCCTCCATCTCAAAGCCTGGAACAAAGACTATGAGGACGAGAGTCACACCTTTGGAATGGCCTGAAAGTGCCTGGGCCCCCAAGAGCATTGTGGAGTGGAGCTGCTGATGTACCCTGAACTGCCTATCTCTGAACTCTTAAAAGAGTAAGAAATAATTTTCTATTTTATTTAATTCACTACCTTTGAGGGATTCTTTACTTGCAGCTGAATGTAATCCTAATTAATATACCATACTTATGCAACTAAAGTGGAGATGTCACATAATTATCAAATGCTTTGTGGAACATTTGTATTTACATTGTCAAATGAAAAGAAACTTCACAGTTGATTTAAAGTAGTCATTTACAAACTATATGTCCATTTACTAAAACCCAGCATAGTGTTAAAAACAAATTTTAACTCTTTTTTTTTTAAGACAGAGTTTCGCTCTTCTCACCAAGGCTGGAGTGCAATGGCGTGATCTCGGCTCACTGCAACCTCTGCCTCCCGGGTTCAAGAGATTCTCCTGCCTCAGCCTCCCATGTAGCTGGCACTACAGGCATGCACCACCACACCCGGCTAATTTTTGTATTTTTAGTAGAGAGAGGGTCTCACCATGTTGGCCAGTCTGGTCTCAAACTCCTGACCTCGTGATCCACCCTCCTGGGCCTCCCAAAGTGCTGGGATTACAGGCGTGAGCCACTGCACCTGGCCAAATTTTAACTCTTTTAATTGGGCCTTGCATGGCTCCAGTTTGCCTCAGGCTCAAGCACCCCATCTCATTGATCCTAGGCCTGCTTTACACACTTTCCTCACCTGCCTGGCTTCTTACAGATTTGAAATTGCAATGACTGATTTGTTCTAATCCAACCCCTTATTTTATAGATGAGAAAGCAGAGATCCAGAAAAGTAAAGGAATCAGAGATTATGGAGAAATAGGTACTAGAACTGAGGATATGGACTCCCAGTTCAGACCTCTTTCCGTTGTTCGGGCACAAATTATCCCCTTTGAATTTCCCTGGGAAGGAATACCTCTGGGTGGACCCTTCCCCCGGCATTCCTGCAGCTACCCTGTGGGCCTAGCCCTTTTGTACCACAGTAGCTCAGCAGCTGGACCAGTGAGAGGACACCTCTCCCTGCAGTGGAATTCCAGGATGACTAGTTGAAGGCATCCCCACTCTAGACTGCCTAAACCTTCCCTCTAGATGTGGGGACCTGGGGAGGTTGCACGTCCACCTCTTGGAAGTTCTCTCGGCACTCATTTTTTTATCACACAGATAGAGGGACCAGAGTATTACATTCTCAACCCTGTCATCTCCTATCACATAAATGTGATATCATTTTAGTCTATTAGAGTGTCATCACAAAAACAGAGGTGTTAGAGCATGGCAGCACCTGTCAGGGGGTTGCAGATAGTTATGTGAAATATTATGTTAACCCAGTTTCATGACATTAGTGGCAGTAACTCGTCCCTGCAGACTAAGTTCATTATTTGCAATATGTAAATGAAGGTGTCCTGTGCGGGCTACCATTAAAAGAAAAAAAATAGGTCCCCTTACAGAGTTGTGGAATTTTAAAAGTCTAGCACTGAGAGGAGTTTAGAGACCATTAAAGGCCATGTTACAGCATTTCTCTCCTCGCTTTTCAACTTTGAGATGACCAACCACCTTCTCCATGTGCACTTGCTAAGCTTCTCCATCTATATGGCTGAACACAGACCATTTTCAAATAGGGCATTAAAAGTGTTGTTTTACACTGTAATTTAGCTGCATCTGTTCTGTACTTGTTTCCTTGACTAGATTATAGACTCCTCAGAAGAATGGGAATAATCTTCTTTTCCTCTTTTTCGTAGCATCCAGCATCAGGCTTTCTATGTACCAAGAGCACAGTGTTTATTGAGTGATGATCTAGTGGAATCTTTTTTTTTTTTTAAACAAACATAAAGACCATTCAATGTAAAAGAGTCACTCAGTGGGGGAAAATTATTTATTCACCTCTCCAAAGCTCACATTTCTTTATTGTACAGAGTAATAATCTCACTTTATAAGAATTTATGTGGACCTTACACCAGGCACAATGACTCACGCCTGTAATCCCAGCACTTTCAGAGGCCGAGGCGGGGATCAACCTGAGGTCAGGAGTTCAAGACCAGCCTGGGCAACATGATGAAAACCCGTCTCTATTAAAAATACAAAAATTAACTGGGCGTGGTGGCATGTGCCTGTAGTCCCAGCTACTCAGGAGGCTGAGGCAGGAGAATCGCCTGAACCTGGGAGGCGGAGGTTGCAGTGAGCCAAGATTGTGTCACTGCACTCCAGCCTTGCCAACAGAGCAAGACTCTGTCTCAAAAAAAAAAAAAAAAAAAGAGAAAAAAGAATATATGCAAATGGTAAATTAGCAATTTAAGACTAGGCCTTCACATCTAAAAATGGGATATAAAATTATCCATCTAGAATTAGAATTTGAAGACACTAGTTTCTAGTCACATATTATTGCTTGGTGGCTAAATATCCACTTTAAAATATCCCAATGATGTTCTAAATTGGCGATGAAATACTAGAAAGGATTTGTTTTAAATGTTGGCAAAACCCATTGATTTATCTTCCACATTAACACGCTATTTGGAAAATACTACCATTGGTGATGATGATCTTGGTTGGGGTTGGTGATACAGTAAAAACAGCCATAGGAAAACTCGAGGGCCCAAGATACAATCAAAGCGGAATGTGACTCCAAGATTACAACTAGTTTTTAATGTTCATGACTCTACCAGCTTCTCTTCTAACTGGTTTCCATGTTTTCTTAATGTGCGAAGTAACAGGTTTAGAAGAAGGAATATGAAGCTGCCTCCCTGCTTTGAAGTGTAGAAAAGTAAAAATGTTCAGTTTAATGCATGTAAATAAATATACTACAAACCTCACCAAAAAGTAGAGCATGGCATTCCCTCAGAAGCCCCTCTCTGCCCTCATCAAAGGCGAGCACTGTCCTGACGTCCATGGAAATCACTTCTTTGTACTTGTACCACATGAACATGCATATTCCAGACTCTATGGCTTAGGTACACCTGTTTTGAAACTTTTCTGCTCAACATTATGTTTGTGAGACTCATCTATGTTTTTGTTTCTAGTTGTGAATTTATTGTCAGTGCTATATATTATGCCACCGTATAAATATATCCAATTTATTCATCCATACTATTGATAATGGCAATTTGGGTTTTTTCCCTGCTTGATATAATAATGCTATAAAAACATTCTCATATGTATATATATAATTTTCATATATGTGTGTATATATATATATATTATATAGGGAGAGAGAGAGAGATGAATGATAGCTATAGATGATACCTTAGTGCACATTTCTAGGTGTGAAATTTCTGGATCATAAATTTGGATTATCTTCAACTTTAGCAGCTAACTCCAAACCATTTTCCAAAGTGATTCTACCAAGATTTACCATCGTTAGAAGTGCATTAAAGTTAATATTGCTTATTTTCCTTGAACACATCATTGGTCTTTTTAAATTTCAGCCACTCTATAGGTTACGTGCATAGCAGATCTTGTGGTGTTGGATGTGCGTGTTGGATGTGTGTGTTGGATGCCTCGTTCATCAACAAGGTTAAGTATGTTTAAATACACTTATTGGCCACTTTTGAGAGGTACTTTTGCAAGTCTCCTACTTTTTTTTTAAATTAGATTGCTTGTCTTTCTCCTACTGATATATAAGAGTTCCTCGTAAATGTTTGACATGAATTTTTGGGATGTACCTGTATTACAAATACATGCCCCAACTCTGTGACATTTATTTTAATCCCTTACTGAATGACTTTGTAGAACAGAATTTCTTAAATTTAAAATCATCACTCTATTCTATTTCAATTGTATGGTTGCCTATCTTTGAGATGATGAGAGCTTGTCTTATTTTTTTTAAGTCTGATGTCTAGTAAGTTCTACTACGTTGCTTTTCTTTCCTCAATACTGTCTTAGCCATTCTTAGACTTTTGCATTTCACAGCAATGGTAAAATAAAACAAAGTTCCAGAAAAATCAAAGTTGAATTTTGATTAAAATTGCACTCAAACTGTAAATCAGTTTGGAAGCAATTTGCATATTTCTCAAATTGGGTCTTCTCATTTATAAACTTGATATATCCTTTCATTCATTTAGGTTTTTTATAGTTTTCTGGGTGGAGGTTTTGGACATCTTTTGTATGATGTACTTTTGGGTATTTTATTATTATAAATGGCATCTATGTAAATTTTCTAATGTTTTTTTTGTTGATAAGTAAAAATTCAATTTATTTATAAATATTTTGTGTATTATATATGTACTTTGCATATTTATATATTTGTATGCTGTTATGGACTGAATGACTCAAAATCCATATATTGAAACCCTAACATCTAATTTGATGGTATTTGGAGGTGTGGGCTTTGGAAAGTAATTAAGTTTAGATGAGGTCATGAAAGTGGGTTCCCCCTGATGAGGTCAGTGCCTTTAGGAGAGGAAGAGAGAGAGGAAGGCACCAAGGAAAGGCCATGTGAGCACAGAGTGAGAAGGCGGCTGTTCACAAGTTGGAAAGCGGGCCCCCATCAAGAACCAAATCTGCCAGCAACCTGATCTTGGACTTCCAGCCCCTAGAACTGTGAAAAATAAATGACTGTTATTTAAGCCACTCAGTCGATGGTATTCTTTTATAGCAGCCTGAACTAAGACATATGCTGCTCACCTCTCTTGCTGAACTTGTTGATTACAACAATTTATCTGTAGATTCTTCTAAAGTCTCTTCATATATAATCCTATTTTATTACATCATAGTGGCTTTTGTATTTACTATTTTCCAATTATTAAATCTCTTATTTATTTTTCTTACTCTACTCTATTCACGTGCATCAAGTATGATATTGAGTAAAATGGTGACAGCAACGCTTTTGTCATTTTCTGATCTCAAAGAGAAAGCTTTCACGTTTTACTTCTAAGCGTGATGTGTGCTGTAAGTTTTCTGTAGATCCTTTTCAAGTTAAGAAAGTTTTTTTTTCTATTTCTAGTTTGTTGGGAAGCTTTTGTAAAATTATAAATGGATATTAAATTTTATTTAGAAATTTCTGCATCTATGCAAATAATCATAATTTTTCTCTTTTATTCTGTTAATACGATAAGTTACATTGCTTCATTTTCAAATGTTAAATCAACTTTGCATTCCTGGAATACACCTAATGTGTCATAGTGGATTATATTATTTATAATTTTTAAGATTAGATTTGATATTATTTTATTTAGAGGTTTTATATTTATGTTCATGAGTAAAATTACCTGTAATATATCCTTTCTCATAGTTACCTTAGCAAATTTTGACATCAAGATTACATTTTAAAACTAGTTCTGGAATGTTTCCTCCTTTTCTCCCTATTGTCTGCAAGAATTTGTGAAAGATTGATAATACTTATTCTTTAATCGTTTGGTAAACCCACTGGTAAGCCATCTGGATCTGGAATTTTATTTGTGGGAAGGTTTATAATTACGCTTCAATTTTTTTTAAGTGAAAAGATTATTAAGGTTTTATATTTCTGCTTTAGCCAGCCTGGGAATTGACACTTTCTCACAACTTTACCAATTTCATAATAAATGCATTGAAACAAATGTGCTTATGATAATGTTGATATTTTTAATGACTGTAAATTTTTACTGAGGTCTCCTTTTCCATTCCTGTTATTGCTATCTGTGCCTTCAGCTGTTTTTCTAGATCTGTTTCAACAGGTGTCATTCAGGTTATACAAGTCCTTTCTCAATGAATTATTATCAGTTATTACTATTTTAATTATTAATTATTCTTTTATTTGTTTTCTATTTTTAAAAAATATTTTCAGCTCTTTATTCTTTTCTTTCCTCCAATTAATTTGGGTTTAATTTGATTGTGTTTTTTTTTTTGATGTTTGCCTTGAATGCTTAGTTCATGAATTTTTAAACCTTCTTCTCAAATGTAGGTACCTAATGCTATAAATGTCTAAGTGTGACTTTAGTTGTATTTCACAAGTTTTGGTATATATAGCAATTTCATTTTTTAAGTTTATAATTATTTTTCTTTGCTATATGGGTCATCCAGAACTTCTATTTTCCTAAATATCCAAACATACGGGGACTTTGTATTATCATTTTGTTATTGTTTTCTAGCTTAATTGCATCATGGAGATATATATATTTATATATATGTATATATATTTATATATGTGTATATATGTATATATCTGTGTATATGTGTATATATGTGTATATGTCTGTATATATGTGTGTATGTGTATATATGTATATATATACATATGCTGCATGATTTCAATCCCCTGAAACCTCTAAGGCTTGCTATGAAAGAATGCATTATTATTTAAAACTTACAACCTTGCCTTTGATGCTCCACTCTGCAGTGGAAGTATACTTCCTGCACTGTTGATGTTGGCCTTAAGCCATGTAACCTGCTTTGTTCAGCCAAATGTGCATGGAAGTGACATGAGATGTTTCTGAGATCTCTTTTCCCTCGGCCAAAAGACTATCAGTGTCCCTGATAGAGGTAACTATGCCAGCTTGAGTCATGAAATGAAGAAGACATGACAAAGGGCCAAAGGCAATCTCAATGACATTTGGGGTCTGAAATGGTTTGGATGTGTGTCCCCTCCAAATCTCATGTTAAAATGTGATTCCCAATGTTGGAGGTGGGGCTTTCATGTTAGCCAACTTCTTTTATCGTCTAGTTCTCTGGTTCCCCTTAAACCTCTTTTATTAGCAATTGCTGTATCCTGAGGAGGTCCAGGCAGCCCATCCAGTGATTCACATGGCAAGGAACTGAGGCCTGCCAGTGTAAGTGAGTCTGGAAATGGATCTTCTGAGCCAGGCAAAAAGCGAGCTGCAAAGTGCGTTCTTTAGCCCCAGCTGGGCCTTCAGATGATTGCAACCCCAGAAAATAGCTTGATTAGCAGACTCATGGGATTCTGAGCTGGACTCATTCTGCTTAGCCACTTCCACACTCTTGACCCACAGAAACTGTAAAATAATAAATGTTTGTTGTTTTAAGACACTAAGTATGGGGTAAGGTATTATGCAGCAATAACTATATAACACATATTTTAGTATCTGGAAATGGGGTCATACCATAACAAATGCCTTAAAATTTGGGAGTAGTTTGGAACCAGATAACATCTGGAAAGATTTTTTGGAATATATTGGAGAAGCAACAATTTTTATAAACAAATTGTTAACACAACTGTGGATATTGAGGACACAGACAGTGAGGATTTACAAGGAAATGGCACACATGCTATTGAAAATTGAAGGAACTGAAATCATTGTTAAACTGTGATAAATAGGTCTGCAACATCACTGGCAGTAACATGGAAAGTAGAGCATGTGTCAAATGAACTAAGGAGATGTCTAAGCAAATTGTTGAGATACCATATAGTTTCTTTTTGCTGCTTATGGTAAAATGCAAAGGGAGAGAGTTAAATTGTGGGAAGAACTGTTAGTCACAAAGGAACCAGGACTTTCTGGATTTGAATTCTCAATGCCTCAGGAAGACAGGTGATGCTTAAGTTAAGAAATGGCTTCATAGTGAAGGTCAAATCAAGGGCACATTCAACAAAACAGTCTAGAAGTGAAACCCAGGGTGGAATTAGAAAATCTTTGCAGACCTCAGAAAGTCCAAAGTTGATATCCCAGAGTACTATTGAGTCACACAAAGATCCTTTAGATACATTTAGGGTGTGCCTCATAGATCCTCTTAAGTGAACAACAGGGCCTCTAAAAAGCCTAAGGGCTTATCTAAAAGGGATTTGGAGTTACGGCTATTATCTAATGGAGTGAACCACAAGGAAATTCTAAGGAGACCCACAAAGTTTTTGAGATAATTATATTAGGAGAAAAAATGACCAGTTTAGATTGAAGCAGTCAGAGAGAGTACAAATTGAAAAAGAGCATGCAGACCCCAAAAATTCTACTGGCAAGAAGCAGGCTGACAAAACCACTCAGCTGCAAACAAGTGCTACATTTCATGAAAAAGAAAGATGACTTACAGGATGAAATCAAGAGCCATGGAGAATTTCATCCAGGCCTTAAGAACTAATCAAGGAGATTCCAATATTTTTTTACAACTAGATTTTAAAATTACTATGGACCAATGAGTTCTTAACGGTCTCAATTTTTTGCTTTTTTGAACAAGAACATAGCAATTTTTCAATCCTTGTCTTATGCTGGATATGTGCAGGGACAGATAACTTCTGTCCTTAATTTCACAAATTTACACATAAGAAGAAGTTACACGTAAGGAATTATACTTAAAGAAATACACCTGAGGCACCTCATCCATAGCTGGACCTGATTCAAATAATACCATGCTGAAGTTTGAGCTGAGATTATAATAGGATGAGATTTTTATGGCCATTTAGAGGGTATACATGTATTTTGCATGTGAGACTGACAGGACAGATTAAGGGCCAAAGGGAACATTGTGTTAGGCAACTTGTAAGATGTCCCATCCAATCCAGCTCCTGGTAATCACATCCTTGTGTGATTCTTTTTTCTGAGTGTGGGCCAGATTAAGTGATTTGTTTTTATTGCATAGAATGCCACAGAGTTCATGGGACATCACTTTTGAAAACATGTCTCCAAGAAGACAATTTGTACTGTCTTGGGCATCCTCTTTCACTCTCTCGGTCACTTGCTTTGAAGAAACCTGCTGCCATGTTGTGAGGTGCCCTATGGAGAGGCCCACATGACAAGTAACTTATGTCTCTGGTAAAAGGCAGAGAGAACCTGAGGCCTCTAAACAGCCCCACGAGTGATCTTGGAAGTGAATCTTCCCTCCTAAAAGCTTTAAGATACCTGCAGTTCTGGCCAATACCTTGACTGCAGCTCTGTGAAAGACCTTGAGCTAAAGGCACCTAGCTAAGATATATTTCCTGACTGTTGACCTACCAAAAAAGAAAGAGACAACAACTATTTGTATTGTTAGGCAGAATATTTGGGGGTAATTAGTTACAAAACAGTAGATAACCAATACATCTAATCTAACCCAAGCCAACTGATAATGTTGCTTAATGGCCTAAATATAGAAATTTATGTAAATGGTATGTGCGAGCTTAAACTAACAATAAAACCACATATTCTGCAGTCATTGGATGACATTTGAATCTGTAAAAAACTGTCAGTCACTATCCCTTTAACTTTTGTTTCTGTACTATCTTATCCTCGCTTTCTTGTGGGATTCCAATTAAACATGTATTAAAACTTCACAATATAAATTATATATCTTTTATCCCCCTTTCTAACTTTTTGTCTTTCTGTGCTTCAATCTGCATGATTTTTTGTGAGTTATCATCTAAGTTATTCCTTCCCTCTTTAGCTATGGGTTCTACTCTATTCTTAAAACCATCGACTGATTTTTAAATTTCATTTATTATATTTTTAAGCTTTAGAATATTAATCTGTCACTGACAACTCCAATATCCAGAATTCTTGGATAGGCTCATTTTATTTTTACTTTTTCTGTTGCTTTATGTTCAGGCTGTCTTATACCACCAAGTCTCAATCAGATAAACTTACCATATTTTTACTGTTTACAGAAAAATTCTAAACTTATCATATTTTTACTGTTTACAATAAAATAATGTTTATCTGATTGAGACTTGCTGGTAAGTCAGGCAGTCTAGCTAGGCATGGTGGCTAATTCCTGTAATCCCAGCACCTTGGGAAGCTGAGATGGGAGAATCACTTGAGTCCAAGAGTTTGAGACCAGCCTGGGCAACAGAGTGAGACTCTGTCTCTACAAAAAAAAATGAAAAAAAAAAAAAAAAACAGCCAGGTATGGTGGTGCGTGCCTGTATTTTGAACTAATCAGGAGGCTGAGGTGGAAAGATCATGTGAGCCTGGGAAGCTGAGATTGCAGTGAGCCATGATTGTGCCACTGCACTCCAGCTTGGGTCACTGAGAAAGACTCTACCTCAAAAAAAAAAAAAAAAAATAGTAAGCACATGCCTTCATAGATTGTGCTTTTACAGGTACCTGGATACTCCTATACTCTGGGATTCAGTCCAATTTCAGTGATTGAGGTACAATCCTCACAAAGGCATCTCTCTTCATTTGTAGCTTTTAAGGATCTCAATCCAAAGCTAAAGTGGCTCACCAGAGCACTTCTTTTAACAGATCTTGAATACCAATCCACATTGTCACAGTCCCTAGAGCTTGTCCAAAGCAGTGCTCATTCTCTCCCTATTTCAGACTCTCCTTTATCAATCATCATTTGTCCTTTGCAGAAAAATGGCCAAAAGCCAATGCCAACTTTTGGACCTGTCTTCTCTTTAATCCCAAACCACTGTAAAGATAATTATCTTATTACTAAAACATTAATAGGAGGCTCATTCAGATCACATAGAGGCAAGGGGACAGGAACTAACATTTGTGGGCAATGAGGATATGACATATGTTTATTATATGATATCTCTTTTATTCATCACTTTTTAAATGTGATCTGTAAGGTAATTCTCTTCTCCTTATTTTTACTGAAGAAAAACCTGAGATTCATAGGGATTAATATATCTTCCCCAGGAAGTCAGCGAAGAATGGAAACAGAATTTGTATCCCAAGTGTGCTTGACATCCAAGACACAGCCTCTACTATATCCTCTATGCTGACCTCTCTTTAGGCTTCCATTAGAGTTAGAAAGAAGAGAGATTTTTAGCATTTTATTTGCAAATAACAAAATAAGCAATAACCCACTCTACTGGAACAAATACTACTTACATATCCTAGAGTTTTCAACTTTGGAAATCATATATTTAATAGCTCTATATTCTGCACTCTTCTGAATTTGCTAAGCTTCTGACAAATTGATATTTCTGCTTCTTATGAGATACAATATTTGTAATAAAAGAAGAGACAAAGTCATAACTGGAGAACTTGATAAAAAATAATCTATACTTGCTGATATGGTTTGGCTGTATCTCCCCCAAATCTCATCTTGAATTCCCACATGTTGTGGGAGGGACCCAGTGGGAAGTAATTGTATCATGGGGGCAAGTCTTTCCCATGCTGTTCTCATGATGGTGAATAAGTGTCATGATACCTGATGGTTCTATAAGGAGGAATTGACCTGCACAAGCTCTCTCTCTTTGCCTGCTGCCATCCATGTAAGACATTACTTGCTTCTCCTTGCCTTCCATCACGATTGTGAGACTTTCCCAGCCATATGGAACTGTAAGTCCATTAAACCTCTTTCTTTTGTAAATTGCCCAGTCTCAGGTATGTCTTTATTAGCAATGTGAAAACAGACTAATACAGTAAATTGGTAATGAGAGTGGGGTGCTACTGTGAAGATACTCAAAAATGTGGAAGCAACTTTGGAACTGGGTAACAGGCAGAGGTTGGAACAGTTTGGAGGGCTCAGAAAAAGACAGGAAAATGTGGGAAAGTTTGGAACTTCTTAGAGACTTGTTGAATGGCTTTGCCCAAAATGCTAATAGTGATATGGACAATAAAGTCTGAGGTGGCCTCAGATGGAAATGAGGAATTTGTTGGGAACTGGAGCAAAGGTGATTCTTGTTATGGATGGAAATGAGGAACTTGTTGGGAACTGGAGCAAAGAGACTGGCGGCATTTTGCCCCTGCCCTAGAGATTTGTGGAACGTTGAACTTGAGACAGATGATTTAGGGTATCTGGCAGAAGAAATTTCTAAGCAACAAAACATTCAAGAGGTGATTAGGGTGCTGTTAAAGGCATTCAGTTTTAGAAATTTGTAAGCAACAAAACATTCAAGAGGTGACTTGAGTATTCAGTTTTATAAGAAAAGCAGAGTACAAAACTTCAGAAAATGTGCAGCCTGACAATATTATAGAAAAGAAAATCCCATTTTTTTGAGGAGAAATTCAACCTGGCTGCAGAAATTTGCGTAAGCAATGAGTAACTGAATGTGGATCACCAAGACAATGGGGAAAATGCCTCATGCCTCCAGGGCACATCAGAGACCTTTGTGGCAGCCCCTTCCATCACAGACTGGGAGGCCTAACAGGAAAAAGTGGTTTCATGTGCCAGGCCCAGGGTCCCCCTACTGTGTGCAGCCTAGGGACTTGGTGCCCTGCATCCCAGCAGCTCTAGCCAAGGCTGAAAGGAGCCAACATAGATCTCAGGCCATGGCATCAGAGGATGCAAGCCTCAGGCCTTGGCAGGTCCACTTGGTGTTGAGCCTGCCAGTGCACAGGGGTCAAGAATTGGGGTTTGGGAACCTCTGCCTAGATTTCAGAGGTTGTATAGAAACACCTGGATGTCCAGGCAGAAGTTTGCTGCAGGGGTGGGGCTCTCATGGAGAAACTCTGCTAGGGCAATGCAGAAGGGAATTGTGGGGTTGGATCCCCCACACAGAGTCCCTACTGGGGAACCACGTAGTGGAGCTATGAGAAGCACATTAGACCCCAGGATGGTAGGTCCACTGACAGCCTGCACCATGTGCCTGGAAAAGCTGCAGACATTCAATTCAATGACAGTACATGAAAGCAGCCGGGAGGCGGGCTGTACCCTACCAAGCCACAGGAGCAGAACTGTCCAAGACCATGGGACACCACCTCTTGCATCAGCATGACCTGGATGTGAGACATGGAGACAATGGAGATCATTTTGGAATTTTAAGATTTGACTGCCCTGCTGGACTTTGGACTTGCATGGGGCCTGTAGCCCCTTTGTTTTGGCCAGTTTGTCCCATTTGGAACAGCTGTATTTACCCAATGCCTGTACCTCCATTATATCAAGAAAGTAACTAACTTGCTTTTGATTTTACAGGCTCATAGACAGAAGCAACTTGCCTTGTCTCTGATGAGACTTTGGACTGTGGAGTTTTGAGTTAATGCTGAAATGAGTTGTTAAGACTTTGGGGGACTGTTGGGAAGACATGATTGGTTTTGAAATGTAAGGACATGAGATTTGGGAGGGGCCAGGGGTGGAATGATATGGTCAGGCTGTGTCCTCACCCAAATCTCATCTTCCCATGTGTTGTGGATAGGACCTGATGGGAAGTAATTGAATCATGTAGGCAGGTCTTTCCCATGCTGTTCTTGTGATAGTGAATAAGTGTCATGAGATCTGATTTTTTGTTTGTTTGTTTGTGTATTTGAGGCAGAGTCTCACTCTGGTCACCCAGGCTGGGGTGCAATGGCACGATCTTGGCTCACTGCAACTCGCGCCTCTTGGGTTCAAGCAATTCTCCTGCCTCAGCTTCCCAAGTAGCTGGGATTACAGGCACTCACCACCATGCCAAGCTAATTTTTGTATTTTTAGTAGAGACAAGGTTTCACCATGTTGACCAGGCTGGTCTCAAACTCCTGACCTCAGGTGATCCACCCACCTCGGCCTACCAAAGTGTGGGATTACAGGCACCAGCCACTGTGCCCGGCCAATCTGATGGTTTTGAAACAGGGAGTTGCCCTGCACAAGCCCTCTTTCTTTCCCTGCTGCTCTCCATGTGAGACATGACTTGCTCTTCCTTGCCTTCCACCATGATTGTGAGGCTTCCCCAGCCACATGGAACTGTAAGTCCATTAAACCTTTTTAGTAAATTGCCCAGTCTCGGGTATGTCTTTATTGGCAGTGTGAAAACGAACTAATACACTTGCACTCTCCAAAGAGTGGTCTGCAGACAACCCGGTCTGCTAATTGTTATCAGTTCATGAAGAGAAAGGGGCAGAAAAACAGTTGAGAGTCAGTATTTGCAAATCTTCACAGCAACTTGACGTTGCCATGACATCTGTGTATGTGAGCAGTGGACTCCCTTGCATGAACAAGATTTAGGCTGATCTGGGTGTTGCTGAGCCAATGTACTGAGTCACATCACATGTGGCACTGCATGCTGTCAGGCACAAGAGGACACAGTGGGGCAAGGATCTATGAACCAGTGGCAATTTTAAAACCATATTTTTCACAGCAAATAATTTGAGAAGCACTGATCGTTTACCAGGGTCAGTTTATATGCTACTCTGGGTGGGGGCTCTTGTTTTCCTTTATGGAAAAAGCTACCCTCCCAGAGGCTGGTGCTTTGCAGAGTCTTGCTGCCAAGCCTGTAGACCTAGGATCCCATGCACATGCCAACTGCCCTCTGGCAAGATTATATCTATGGAGCTTGGCTTCTCCAGTGACTAACTGGACAGGAAGGAGACACAGCTTGGAAGTGGAGGGAACATCTGAGAGAGGTGGTAGGTAAATTCTTTTTTCTTTCTCTCTCCAGGTCAGCTCCACAGCACCATAACACACCCTCAGATCTGTTTGCCCTCCTTCTGGACTTCATGTTCCTTTTCCCTCACACAAGCTTCCCAGGGCTTGCATACTCCAATAAAGCATTCACATATAAGCTTTTGCCTCAGGTTCTATTTCTAGAGAACCTGAGCCAAGACATGTACTACGTAAAATGAACCTATGAATGACTATTCTAATGCTTTTGACCGGTGCTTCTCAAAGTGTGACCACCAGACCAGTAGTATCAGCATCATTCACAAATTGTTAAAAATGCAATTCTTGGGTCCCACCCAGAACCACTGAATCAGAAACTCTTGGTGTGAGCCCCATAAATCTGTGTTTTAACAAGTTCCAGATGATTCTGTTTTAAGTTTGAGAACTACTGCTTTACACTGACAATGAGAACCGGAAAATGTTCCTTCTTCTTAAAGTGTATCAATCTGCTAAATCTTAGCTCAAGACTGGACCGTTTTGTAGGCAAAATCCATTATGCTAACTTGACAGTATTATAATAGCATATATCTAGTAGCAAAATGTAACATTTTTATCTTAGTGTGAGATCAACCGAAAAAAGAATGTTGCATAGCACATTTGTTATAACTTCTATCTTTTTAAACCAAACTTTCTTTTATATATTTTTTCATAACTTAGACCCATATAGAGGAAACTTAACCCTCTAAATCATTATCCCTGCCTTTTTAGAACGGAAGCATCATTCTGTTGAGTACTTCATTTATTTTCCTCTCATTGCCTCCTTCCTGGTTGATCTACCCTCCAAAATTGCTATCTAAAGTAGTAACTACTTTGTCTCAAATAAAGCATATTAAAAGTAATGTTTAGGCTTCTGTGACATACCTGGAGATCTATAGAGCTCCCCATGGCTGTGGACATCGATGTTTGGAACCAGTACTCTGATCTACAACACAGACTGCAAATTAAAATCACCTGGGGAATTTTAAAAGCCTACTCATACATTTGGCCCAACCCAAAGAAACTGATATAGTTGGTCAGCATGTGAAACCCAGGTACTTAACATCTATTTCAGAAGACTCATACGAGTATTCTAATGTGTAGCCAGGGTTGCAAAACACTTTGAGTCCAACTGTAGCTCATAGAGTGCTTGATTTTTGCTCCTTGACCTCCTAAGCCCTGGGACAAACACACTGACTATTTCAGGTGTTTCTGCCTTTCCAAGACAACTTAAAAGGAAAGCCACCACTACAACCACCTCACAACAGTCATGAAGACTTCTAGTAAAATCACATTCCGCAAGTTGAAGCCAAAAGACAAACCAGAGTCCTTGTAAAATTACTCTCAAACTGAACCTTCAAAGGATATAGACATCTGGGTTTTGTTAAAAAATAGTTTGCAACCTTCCTATGGAATTTTCATTGTCTTAGTCCCTGCTCAAAGTTGCAGTCAGAGAAAACTTCGTCTCCAATCATCCCAGCCCAGGGACTGCAGCCGGCTGCTCTCCAAGGGCAGAAGGCAGGATGGGAAAGGTGTGCACATTGTCACAGAAGGTGAGCTCTCAGAGTCCATGCAGCTCCTCGGTGCAGTCTCGGGGCCAGGCCGGCTCTGGAGGAGCACTGTCAAGACACAGGTACTCCTGAGCCAACACCCAAGATTCCGCACACCAGCTTTTAGCCTTATCCTGTAGAGTGGCTTGTACTGAAATGTTTGTGTTTGATTCTCACTTTCTATTCCCTTAGTGAAGATCCCATTATCTCTAACAGCTGTGTGTCCAGAAAAAACATGAATTTTGTGTAACAGAAAAGAATCCCATACTTGTTTCTCCAAATAGCCTTAGGAAAAACAATTTAATCTCACTTTCTTTATTTATACTATAAAGACTTTGTGCGGAAAGGGGATAGGTACTTTAAGGTGGGAAACTTTTGAAAGAATGAATTAATCTCTATAAAACAGAAGGAAGTTTATAATTATTACTATTTTTTAACAGCCTGGACCAAAAAAATGGAACAAATGTGCCACTAAAATAGTATTTGAAATTTACCATCTCCAGATAAATTCATAAAGGGGAAGAAAACCAAAAAGGTGACACACACTGCTTGTGTAAGCTTGGAAATTGATTTCCAAAGCATCAGAGCTCACTACAAAAGAACTTCACAGTTTAATTAGGATGGCTGAAATCCAGAGTCTATATTTAGGATAAGCTGGAAATTACAGTGTAGAAATGAGAATCATCTAGCAAGAGCCGAAATGGGGAGGGAGGGTGTCTATGGAAAAATCACCACAGCATTTTTCAGCTAACCATAAAATGTCTTAACTTTGTGTTTCTCTGGACACACACTAAATAATCTCTAATGATTTTACCTTTTCAGCTGAGGAATGTGTGTTTTAAATTTGCCTTCATACATGTTACCCACATTCTCAATACCTGTATGATCTGCTTAAGTGCAGATGAATTTGGCATTTAACTCACAACATATCAAGAGAATCTCATTAAAATTCTGAATGTATATAAACATATTTTATACCATTAATATTTTGGCTTCTTATTTTTAAGTGGTTGGCAAAGTACTCATGGCACTATATCATTAATTTCTTAAATATTCCTGTTTTCTTCTCATCATTGATATATCATCAAATAAATTAGTTCATACCCAAAATGTGACAGAAAGAACCATATGATTGATTTTTTTTTTTGAATTTTTACTTCTGGAAATGTTTAAGATGATTTTGTACAAAATATATTGGCTTACAATCTAATAATTTATTAGAGGAATACACGATTATTCATGACCACAATTATGGCTTCTGGATGTTGAATGAGGGTGTTTATCTTCTTCCACTTTTTCTTCTTTATAGTGACCTGGCTCTGAATTTAAATATGCTTGTCAGTAATTTCCCTAAAAGCCGTTTAAATGGTCTAAATAATATACTCAAAATTGTTAAGAAAATAAATCGTTTTAGCAAACTGACCTCATCAGCAAAGATGCTCTAATGCACAATGACTATACAGGCAGAAAGACACAGAGAGAAATAGAATCGCAAGAGTAGAGTTTGAAATTCATTTAAATTAAAGTTACTTGCTTTGGCTGAAGGTTTAATTTTAAATTACAAGGAAGGAAATACTCCAGGTAAAATAGCTCTTACTTAATTTTAACTAACAAATTTCAGATATCCAGCTTAGAGCTTCAGTGTGCACTAGTCACCTACTAGTGAATTAATTTATCCTCATTAATTTTGCAAAAGTACACACGTGGCCCTACTCCATCATTCCAAGGCCAGGCCTCTCATTCAGTGTGATGACTCAAATTTTAAAATGGCAAGAAATTAGCCGAATTCCAGCTCTGAAGACCCAATCTAATTAAGTTGAGTTTCCTTGCTTTTATGTTAATGCTAATTGAACAACGACTATATGACAGGTACAGCAATTCGCTCCTTTAGTCCTTATTACTTAGTGATTGTTGTTGGCATTCTACAAATGAATAAACTGAGGTTAAGTGTGATTTAGTAATTTGGTGCCACAGCCTTAATGTAGACTACACTTCTAAGCAAACATTGTCCCCGTGCTGTGCCGGTCACTGTTTTGATCTCCAAGGAGGCAGTGTCGGAAAGATGTAGATGACTGTTCCAAGACTTTCCTGACATTTGGATGAAAAAATGAGCACTGAAAGTGTCTCAGAGATTGAAGGTTAAAGTAACAGAATTGGTGGTTATCTTTTGTGAGGAAGCAGGAAAGGGGGTCGTGGCTGAAATAACAACTCGGGCTGCCATCAATTTCTATCGAATTGGCTGCTGTATGGAACATTCTGCAAATCTTACTGCTTATTTTAACTCAAATGGAAAACCCTCAGTTTTTCATCCTCAAAAAACTGTCTTATACTTTTAAACCAATGAATCCAAAGCAGAGCCAGTGATTTCTGCAGCCAGGCAGGCAAAGCCGTCAGTCACGCCCACTCCAGGTCCCAGTGGACCCAGGGAGCGGCTCCCCGGCAGGCAGAGCGGCCCCCGGGCTGGAAGCTAGTCCTTCCGCATGCGCATGCGCAGGCGCTGGTGTGGCTGGCAGGCACCGGGAAAATAGAGAACTCAGGGGAGGGGCAAGGTCCCTGGCATTGAGGAGACTCACCCAAGGAAAAGTTGTGCCTAACACTGCCACCGGGTGGTCTTTCCTGGGAGAGATTTATTAAAATAAAATAAAAAAAATCTCCTAGGAAGTTTCCCTGCTGATGATAAGAATCTAATGAAGTCTCAGATGTATCATAAGTTTGCACTCTAAATGACTCTGGAGGATCCCACCAGCCAAATCCAGAATGTGCCAATCTTCAGGACATAACCTGCTGATTTGAACAAACTGATGTTAGGAAAGAAAAAAGAATGAAACGGAGGTAGTAAGTAGAAAGACAGGCAGGAGAGGGTCACTATTTATTTCAAGACTACCTAATAGATCAATGAAATGCACTCAATGTATGGATCTTTTATGGGTCTTGATTCAAACAAACCACGATTAAAAGTTACCTTCGAGCCAATGTTGGACAATTGGTTAAGACCTGGGTAATTAGATGACATTAAGAAATTATTGTTAATTTTGCCAATAATGGTATCGAGATTAATTTTTACAATGGGGGAAGGGTTTTAGCTATGAGATAGAGAGTATCCATTGGTGAAATGATGTAGTATCAGGGATTTGCTTTAAAGTATCCCAGAAAACAGTGGGGCTGGAATAGATGAAAGGAGACTGGAAGAATGTTGATAACCTGTTGAATGTGGAGGATGAGCACATTGGGGGGGTTCTTTTCTTGTTCTTTAGGCCAAAATACAGTATTTGAAAATATCTACAATAAAGTTTCTTTGCTAAGTTGCAGGGGAAATGATTGATGACTCTAAGTTAAGTAAAATACTATATAAAGGTTGGTGCAAAAGTAATTGCAGTTTTTGTCATTACTTTCAATAGCAAAACCTGCAATTACTTTTGCACTAACCTAATATATAAAAATATTGCTTTTTTAAATCTACCTTGTGGCAGTTTCATGAGCATATCACCTTTCTCTTCACACACAGAGACACACATATTTACCATATTAGTTGTTACAAATGTCATGTGTATTGCTGTAAATAACTAGGCCTCAAATCCTACCAAAAACTTGGCTTTCGAAGTAGTAACAACTTTATTAACCAAAGCATTCACAATTCCACTTTATAAGCCTAGCAATATTAGAAATCCATTTTGTCCTCTCTGATTAAAGGCTTTTCTCAGTGAAACACTTTATACTCTCTAATTTATATATTTCCCCTTCATTCATTTCTATGACATGGAAAGATAGCCAGTATATGAAATGTCTACTTCTCTTTTTTTAAAGCTCATTCCTTGGACACATGTAAATATATGTCTCTAGTACTTGAAGGAAAACATCATTATTGTTGATAATGATACAACATAGTATCTGCATTCTGAAAGTCAAGTTGATATTCTGTATCTAAATTCCAAAAGAGTAGCACTCACACAATAAGATATTGTTTATATGCTCAGGAAATGAAGAAAATCAGAGCATTCTCATAAAATTGGGCACCAATCTGCTTTGATTTTCCGGCTTGAATTTCAAGAGTGACAACTCTGCCCATAGTGTAACCATTCATTTACAAAAAGTTCGAGATATTTTCTCCAAAGATTTGTATTAGTTTTTGATGTTCTGTTTTTTGTTTGTTTGTTTGTTTGTTTTGCTTGGGAGTGGGTGGGGTGGAACGTAAATAAACATACCAAATATGTTCGGGGCAGTGGTAACCCTCCTTGTTAATCAAGTGTTTTGTTTCTGAATCGAGACGATCACTTCAGGGGATTAAAAAGTGCTGAAAAATCATTGGATACTTTTCAATTTTCCCGTAATTACCATTTCTCTTACCCAAAAGAGGAGAGCTGGTTTTGCTTCACAGATTTCAGGGAAGTCTTCATCTCTGATCATATACTCATGCAGAGAGACTTCCACTGGCCTCTCATTAAATTACTAACTTGGTTACCAGAATAACTTATTTCATCTCTCAGTTTCCCTCATTTAAAAATGGGCGTGAATCATACCAAGGTTGTGAGGATCCAGCTGACTCTATTCCCTCAAAGTGCCCAGGGAAAAGTAAGCCTGTGAGAGCAGCAGCTAAGCCCAGCCAACAGGCAGGGCCCACTCAGCTCTCACCCCACTGCCCGCCTTCACACTCACACCCCAGATGGGACCAGTCTCTGCCCAGGGGGAAGAAACGCAGGCAAGATTATGACCTCCTCCCCGTCCATGCCTTTCTAATTCAGGGCTTCAGCATCTTCTAGTCCCTCTGCCTAGAAACCCCCCCATCAATGCAACTGGCCAGCTCCTGCTTTTTCCTCAAGCCTCTGTTAGCTGCTCGGTAACCCCACTTCTAAGAAGGTGAAGTGCCCCAAAAATCTCCTTACAATTCCTGACTTTTCAATATGTATTGTTGAACAAGAGTAGTTGTTGAATAACTAAACACCACTCTCACTGGATGGTGAGTTCCAGCAGGGCCGGGGTGCCTGTCATTTCCACTGCTATGCCCCATGTGCTTGGCACATAGGAGGTCCTGAATAAATATATGTGACAGGAGCTTGCACTCTATAGAGAACATACACAGCTTTACAGAAAGCGACAGGAGGGACAGCCAACATGCCTCACAGGAAGGTACTGGGAGGGGGTCAGTTGTCATAGGAGGCTTCCAGGAGGAAGTGTCTTTCTCCAAGTGAGCAGGCAATTGTAGATACACGGAGAGATGCAAAAAGGTAAGGGCAATCATCACTGCAATTTATTGATTGTTTACAACGTGCTCAGACTATTCTAAACAGTGAAGTGAACATGTATCATTTTTTCTAACCCTTACAGTAGTCCTGAAGAATTAGGAACTATAATAATACCCACTGTACAGGTGAAAAAACTGGGATACGGGAAAATTAAGCAGATATCCAATGTCTGGTGCTAGTGGGCAATGGAGTTATTTATTATTTATTATTCATTTATTTTGAGATGGAGTCTTGCTCTGTCACCCAGGCTGGAGTGCAGTGGCGTGATCCCGGCTCACTGCAACCTCTGCCTCCCAGGTTCAAATGATTCTCCTGCCTCAGCCTCCCGAGTAGCTGCGATTACAGGCATGTGCTACCATGCCCGGCTAATTTTTTGTATTTTTAGTAGAGATGGGGTTTCACCAGGTTGGCCAGGCTGGTCTTGAACTCCTGACCTCGGGTGATCTGCCCATCTCAGCCTCCCAAAGTGCTGAGATTACAGGCCTGAGCCACCATGCCCGGCCAATGGAGTCATTTATGAGCATACGTGGGGTATCTGGGGACTGTTCTCCTACCCACTAGGCTGTGCTGCTTACAAAACCCCCAGAACAGTGCCTGCATCCCAGGTCTGTCTATAGCTGCAGGGACATCCACAAAACACCCACACCTAGAGAAAGAAAGAGAGACACGCAGAGAAAGCATCTTTTCTTCTAACCTATAGTGCAAGCACTTACTTTTTGGCATTTCTTTTAGCCTGTAGAACAGGTCTACATGTTAATAGGTGCCCCAAAATAGTTGCTGAGTGATCAAGTAGGAGGCTGTTACCTAACCTCCTGCTAAGCGTACAGTGTACCCATATACATATCCTGAAATATAGCTGCAATGAGTAGTTGATTAGTAAGAGCATTTATAGGAGTGCTCATTATTCTTATAAGAGTACGTATGAGGATAGGAGTGATGTGGCTTTAGACAAGTTATTTAACTTCTCTGTGCCTCAGTTTCTGCCTCTTTAAAGTAGGATTACTAGAAGTACCTGCCTCATGCTGTTGCTGTGAGGGTTAAGTGAGAAAATCCATTAAATGTGTGCAACACTGCCCAGGCCTCATTCGGCTCATGTGCCCTGGTACACTAATAGTTCTGCACTAGTGCTGGTATGCTGCTAGCTCCCAGTGACCTGGGCCATTTGCTGGAAGGGGAGAACAGAAACAATAATGGAAAGTAGCCCTCTGGTCTTCCTAGAGGCAGTCTTCGAAGAGCACATTCAAAGCCTCATTTCCTTGCTCCCAGTACATGGGCTTTCTTTGCACCCGTGGCTCCAGCCATTGCGGATTTTCTCCTGGAGAAGGAAGCACTGCTTTCCACCAGGTGAGCAGAGCAGCTGTGGCCAGGAGTAATCCAGGAGTCTCAGAAAAAGAGAAACAAGGACACTCACAACAGCAACGTGAAGAATGGAATGGTTAGGCCAGACATCCCTCTAACCTCAGTGACTGGACAGTGAGCCAGTGCAGGAGGGGTGGGGAAGCCCTACTTCCTATTGCCTCCTGACCCTCCAGCCACCTTTGGCCCTGCAAGACCAGCAAAGAGATCCTCAGCCTGAGATGTCAGCAGAGGGCAAAACAGGCCCAGGCAGAAGACAGCCAGTCAAGAGGAAGAAAACACATTTGGCCCAAGGCACTGGCCCTGCTCCAGCCTGGATTGACCATCCCACCTCCCATTCAGGAGGGACTGCCAAGCAAATCAGTCCTCCCGCCTGGATGCAATTAGCTATCGACAGGCTCTGGGAATCTGCGGGCAAATGTGCCCATATTGCAACCTTAGTTCTTTTCCAAAGCCAAAAATTTTTTTAAAAACCTTCTGCAGGGGCAGAAATATCTGAGACAAGGTGGCCTCTGCTGAACACCAGGTCACCACGGAGGTTCCTGGTCATAAACTGCTATCCATTAATCACCCTGACAGGGGTAATTACAAAGCAGACATTCTACAAAGGGAATGTTGCATTTCCATGCTACATGGGAACTGACAAGGGAATGGGTAATTGGAAACATTTTTGGAAAAACAAATACTATAATCCCAAATTGCCTTTAATTAGAAATATAAGCAGGTATGCATTTCATCCATTCATTCAATCAATATTTATAAGGCATGGTATAGTAGGAGAGAAACTTTTAAACAATAAGGATTTGGAAAGAAGAGTAGTACAGAAACATTTAGGCATAAAGCATTTACAAGAAAAACATTAAAACACAAATGTAAGCCTTGGTCTGTGCTTCCAAGTGTCTTGCAACTAAATGGGAAAACGAGTTATATACAAGTGTAGAGGTAAAGGTCAATATAAGCCCACTGTAATGCAGGTCCAGTGACTGGTCCATCCCAGCAGTGGCATAAGGGCTTGAAGGAGTGAGATGTCATTGATGGCTGAAGACGTTTCACGCAGAGGCTGGGACAATAAGGACTTTGAGAGGCTTGAGTAACAGAGAGAAGAAATTCCATCTAGAAAAGAGTGAAATTTATTAGAAGAGTCACCTGGTTTTAGAGAAGAAATTATGACCGAGAATTATGGAGAATAACATGGATTAGGTAGATTGGAACTGTGTCATGAGCAGATGAAATCCCCAACAATGTGTCAGATTATGCTCTGTCATTTGCTAGTAAGAGGGACTGACTCTAAGTGACTTGAATAAAAAGGGAGAAAAAGAGACAACTTACTGGAGGTGTCATGGTATCTCCTGACATGGCGGATCTCAGCAGCCAAGGCTCAGGACGCACAAACCCTGGCACACATCGGGGAGCCATGGCAACAGGAGACCTTAGCACGGCCTGCTGTTCATGTTCATGTGACTACCTGTCCATGACATCTGATCTCAGGATCTCTCCATTTTCTGTAAAGAGTATCTGTTTGTATACATTGTATCAAAAGCCCACCCTCTTTGTCAACAGCTATGGCCAAGGGGAGGTGTCAGTGGCCCCTCCATGTATGTCATCAGCATCCCTGGAAGGGGCAATGGCTGTGATCCAGGCAACCACCCAAAGGGAGGGTGGTCCGTTGTTGGTTGTTGGGTCTACAATGGGCCAGGCACTTGGCTCTATGATGAGCAAGGTGCACACTGTCCCTTCCTTCATGGCACCGAGAATGGAGTGACATCATCTCATTCCGAAGTTAAGTCCATCCTCCAGGAAGTGGGAAATCGCAAAGATATGCAGCAAGGAAGGAACAAAATTAAAAGGTGGCTTTAAGAGGAGCTTTCTGTCAGTGGCATGCCCTTTGGTTTGGAAGGTCAATCTAACTTGAGGTCAGAGATGTATGTGACAGGGATTCCCAACGAAATTCAAGTGTATGGTAGTGCCATGCCATTCTGGGCCCCCCTACAATTCTGACCCTGTGGATCTAGGTGGAGCCCTGGAATTGGGATCCGGGGAAAGCTCCCCAGAAGCCAATGAGGTAGGAAACTGAACTAGTAATCCTGATAAGCAGCTGTGTGAGGGCAGCAGGTAGACACAGAAGATAGTGCAACATTGGAAACGGCACTGCAAGTTCAAGGATCTGTTTAGATACGGAAGATAGTGATGAAGGAGAAATTGAGGTGATCCCAGCAATTCAAGGTTCAGGAAAAGGGGACAGCACCATCAATCGGAATAAATAATGCAGAGAGGGAGGTAGGAGCATACAGATAATAATTCTGCATTTGAGTTCTAGCAGGACATCTGAGCAGAGATGGCGAGTAGTCATTGCAGGGGGGAGCAGGGGAGGGGAGTACAAGACTTAGCCCAAAGGAGACAAGTGAATTATCCTCCTAGAGGTTATACTTTATATATGGGTAATACTATATAAACAGAATGTATTCAAAATGATATTAAAATATTAGAACGATAATGAAATCTAAACAGTATTTCAGTGATGCATCTGGATTCAGATGTAACTAACCATGCTAGATACTTTCCTGAATACATTTCATTTAACCTTCGCAATTACCCTGTCATGGAATGGAGTCTCAGAGCTCTAAATTATGTAAATTGTCCAAAGTAACATACACATAGCGAGATGGAAGCAAGAATCTGAATCCGGATTTTCAGATTCTGCATTCTTTCCATGCCATCAAGTTACCTCCCACAATGAAAAAACAAACGAACAAAACTACCTGTCCAAACAGTCAGAAAATAGGACAAAAATTGATATAGCTATTGCCACCTTGAAATGGAGCTATCTATCCCTTTAACGTCCATATGGATAATTGTTCTGCTTTAGCTCCCATTTTAAAACTTGGAAGATCTGGTGAACTTAGTTCAAAGACAACAGACACCGCATGCTCACAGCATTGGACTCAGTGGTGGAGGGAGTTTTTAAAGCTGCTGCGTGTCATTGCTGCGGAGCCTGTCTGCAGTTTTGGTTCAAGAACCTTTACTGGGGCTCGGCTTGCCAAAGCACAGTTCTTCTCTTCTCCCGGTTTTAATGACTCCACAGTGACACCTGCTGGGAAGAAGGAACTGCTCAGGCCCGGGTCCTCTGCAGGATACTCACAGGGCCATGCTGAGGGGTTTGCAGGGCCATAGAGCTTTGGCTGTCCCCTGTGCTTCTGCAGGGGACGCTTCTGCACGGTTGGTGTATCACATGGAGACTGGAGCTCTGCCACACGATTAATACCCAGACCCTGGTGCCCCTCGGAGTTGGGCCGGAGTCCCAGCCTGGCCCCAGATCAGTAGAGCTCCGTGGGACTGTCACGTGCAGAGGACACAGACATCGCCTCAGTTGCCCTCTTTCCACTCCAGCTCCCCGATCCGCCTCCGCCTGCAGCTGTTAGTTCCTCCACCACAGGCCACTCTTGATGCCACTATTTGTTTCCCCATGGATCTCTGTGATCCTGCACTTAGGAACAAAGTAACACTGAAAAAAAAAGTCCCCTGGCATCACTGAGAAGAAGACGACTTCCGCAGAAAGTGCCAAAATGTTTTAGAAATAAACGGCAGACAACAGAGTCGTTGCATATTTCACTAGGCAGGATAGTAATTTATGTAATGTATTTTTAACTGTGAGAAGTGATGGGGAAACCACTTAAATATAATGTGAATTGAAGATTTGTCAGTTATGTAGTTCATGCAGTGGCAGATCTAGAAAATGTTATAAAAATTGAAGGATTACCAACAGAGAATGCCTAAAATCAGAACTCTTATTCGAGTTCTAACTCCCCCTATCTCAGGGAATTCTATGCTTTCTGGGAATATTTTGCTTTCTGTGAAAGGAGCTGGAGTTATACATTGTCTGTCAAATGTTCTTTTTTAATCGGCCTTCCTCATTTTTGTTTTAATTCCTTGGCTCTTTATTGCGTCCTCTATATGAGCCTGATGCTAACTCACGCTACCTCACCCCCTATGCCTCAGGATCACTTACCTGACCCACTAACGCCGGTGTTTACATTGGTTCCTGCCCCGTTTTAGGTGGAGGGGCCCTTCGGAGAACAATGGTGCATTCACCAAGTCTAGATTCCTCTGTAGAAGAGTTATATGCGAAGACGGAGTCTACTTTTTTCCTGGAATATGTGCTGCAGGTACCCAGGTTACAACAATCAGGAAAATGCAGCATCCACAATATATGGCGATTTCGCACTTAGGCACACACCTTTTCCCAGAGTTAAGCAAGTCAATAACTCTCTATCTCATATTCCCTTTTGCCCCTCCACCTCCCACTCCCTCATCCCTCCCCAAGGCCTCCACCCTTCGAGATGTGCTCAAAAGCCTTTTGGAAAGTTCCTGGGTTTTCAATGGAAAGATTTCTTTATAGATGAAATGCGCCCTCTAGTGGCAGATGTAAAAGTTGCAGCCTCTATTTTTAGGATTTGGGGGATGTTGGTTTCTTCTCCCCGTGAGGCACTCAGAGCTACTTCTCACTAAGAACAGATGCAAATCCCATGCTTTGTTGCTGCTTTTTCTCAAAACAATTCTACACTCCCAAAGTTTGCAGCATCCCTGAGAATATGTCTTTTGCCTATTATAACCTTATGACTCATTCTCCTGTATTGGCTGCCAGAAAATCAATCAGGGATCCTCTAACCTTCTGTGCTTCCCTTGTAGAATTGCTGGGCTTCTGACTTCAGAAGTCGCACGCTGAGAGTGATAGCACCACCTTGGCAATTCATCAGGTGGATAACAAACACGTATTTCTGCACTCTTCTCACAGAGGACTAGTTTCACAGTGTGGCTAGCAACTAGAGCTACATTGCATTTGAGTTTTGTGGTATTTCAATTTTTACCTAAAAAGTCATGTTGGTCATATGTAATACCTACACTCTTGTTTTTATGCTCCAAACAAAAAAGACCAATTTTGAAAATTTAGGATAGGTGCTGGGATCTAAAGTTTAGATCTTTAAAATCTACTCTTTTAGCACCTTGATTTAATAATTCCACTATATAGACAGGAATTATTTTTGTGTGTATATATTATATATATATATATATATATATAGCAAAACATCACAATGTACTCCATAAATATATATAATTATTATTTGTCAATTAAAACTAAATGGTTTAGACCTTCACAATAGGTATGATGTGAAGCCACTAAAAGCAAAGAAATCGGAAATCAGCGCTAATCCAGATGTGCAAATTGCTCTATCTCCTTCTTTTCCAAGCATTTCAGTCCATTGAGGAAGTCCAAGTAGCCACTTAGACAGCTTTGATGTGATCTGTGGGATCCTCATCAGTCAGAAAAAAATGGCAGGTATTTAGTACCCACTGTTTATGCCATGTGAAACAAACATAATTACAAAGGCAAAAAGAAGAATCCTGGTCACCTAGTGCTCATGCAGAAGGCAGCAAGACAAACAAATAAAAATCAATTGAGAACCTCTTTATCAGAAACAAACACACAAGCACAATTACTACTAGTGTCTTGATGCTATATGGGGTATTACTAATCATGAATGCATGGTATTCACTCAGATGAAATACAGGACTCTGTACAACCTTGGCGAAGATGGCAGTTTTTTAACCATCCTTGACTTCTCTCTCATTCCTTTATTTTTCACAGCGACAGTGTATCTCAAATTCATTCTCTTGCCATCCTTCCTCTGCCAATGGCTTGGTTGAGGTCTCATGGTCTCTCTGCCTAAACATCTGTGAGACTTTATGGACTCAAACCTTCTACATTCATTTCACCACAGGCCATTCCACCAATTACCCCACAGAACCCCAGAACACACGTCTGAACTGATTTCTACTTTTAAAATGGTCGTCCAGCCCCTGTTGTCCACTTCAACATTTGCCCCAAGTGTTTTCAGGATTTTGATTCTTCAGGTTGTTACTACTGACAAATGAAAGGGGCACCCCATTAGGAAAATAGCCAATGCACACTGCGAATTACCAAGAGGCAGAGAGGACAGATGGAGGCAGTGCCTAGGTCCTTCCATCCTGGAGCCCTCTGAAGAGCCTTCCCTGACCACCTGCAGCTGAATTTTCAGCCCTTCCCCCTCTTCACATCGGTACCATTTTATGCATGCATTCTATACACATGACATTGCATTACACTCATTTAGTTATGTGCTACACACATTGTGAAAATAGGAGCCCTTAAGAGGAGGAACAATATGTAGCCATCTCAGTAGTCCACTGCACCAAGCAGTGAAGCTAGGGAAACCAAAATCACAACTTCTAGAATCAACTAAGTTAGACCTTAAGTTAACAACATAGCTATCCCTCAAAAGTAATAATGGAGCTTCACAGTTTCCTGTTTTGAAATTGAAGACTTACAAAACCTACTTCCGTGCAGCATTAGAGAATTAGGTTTATCAAGAAAAAGGGAATAAGACTTCATGAATTTATAAACAATCATCCACTGATGCTGGGGCAGGGCCAGCTTCCGGGGTAGGGTTACCTTGGGCAGTCACACAGGGCCTGGCGCTGAGAAGGGCCCTGCACTTTGTTTAGTGCTTTGCTGCCGCCGTCTTGAAATTCTCAGTAATTTTTCAACAAGGGGCCCTGTGTTTACATTTTGCCCTAAGCCCCATGAATGACGTAGCTAGCCCTAAGGGTGAGGAACCCTCAGAAGCCACTTCTGCCTCCTTAAACAGGTAACTTCCCTGGAAGTCTCCTGCCCAGAGCAGAGAGAGAACAAAACCAGCCTGCGTGGTTGGGTCTGGGGAAAGCAGGAGAGTGCAGCTAGACCCAAGGCCACTTGAGGTACTCAGGGCCCATCAGCCCCATTCTGCTCTACGTGGTCAATGTGAAATGAACCAAGTGATCCTGCAGCAGCTCCTCTTGCTCTTCTGCTCTGGTATCCACCATTACTTTATTAACCACATTTCACGCAGGAACCTTGGCACTATCAAGGTGACACCACAACAGCCCCCAGACCCCCTGAACCCCCCGAACCCCCCACAGCACTGACACACACTAAGATCCTACAGGGCCCACGCTGGCCTATTCCCTCAACTCTGCCATCAGTTTCAAGAGTTCCCATATTGAATTTTCTAACAGAATCTCCACCCTATTAACAACAGCAAATCATTCTTCAATGTATCGGTAGAATCTAGTCAATGCTTTGCTGTTCATGCTTTTCTTCTCTCTAGTTTAAGTTAAAAACAAATAACGTTTTTCTTATTTATCTTAATGAACAACTTTATAATTCTTGACTTTTTAGGGATTACAGCCCCCTAAATTGGAAAAACAAAAAAAAACCCACAAACTTCACCTTCTTATGTCTAACATTTGTTTTTCAAATAGAATTGGGTTGGAACTAATGTTCTAAGAATTAACTATGACATATGAAGAAATTAGAAACACCACAGGGTATCAGAGAACTGGGAGTGGAAACTACCTAAGAAAACAATTAAGGTTGGAGGGAGGTACCATAATAACACAGACCTCTCATCTGCAGCTGGTGTTCAGGCACAGGGCAGGCAACATATTTCAACTGATTGTGAGGCAATGCTAAGTTTTATGTGTTGCACTCAAGAGAGGTCCTGTCTCCAATCAGAGCATTAAATGCATTCAGAAATAAGCACTGGATTGGAGAAGCTTGGAATAGCCATCAGGATTCCCAGTATAAGGCCAAGGACTGAACGCTTTCTATTAATGGCCAACCCTGCCATGACTGAAGGCTGAGAAGTTGTCTGTGGGGCAGCACAGCTGACAGAGGCCGAGTTCTCTTCCTGTGTCCTGCTCTGTGTGGCACTCTGAGTGAGTCCTTTAACAGATCTAGAATCAAGGCCCTCCTTCATAAAAGCAGGGAGTGGACAAGCAAACCAGCACTGAGAACGCCTCTGAACACTTGGCTTTGTGCTTTTTGTTCATGGAATCTTGGGCAAGTTATGCAGCCTCTTTAAACTTGCCTTTACTAATCTGGAAAATGGGAAGACAAAAGCATAGCACTCACCTCATAGCATTCTTATAAGGATTCAATGAGATCATTGTTTAAAGTGCTTAGTCCAGTATCTGGCACTTAAAACACTTCAGCAAAATGAGATACCATTATATACGTATTACAATGGTCAAAATCCAAAAAACAAACAGCATTAAATGCCAGTGAGGATGTGGAACAACAGGCATTCTCATTCATTGCTGGTGGGAATGCAACATTGTGCAGCTACTTTCGAAGATAATTTGGAGGTTTCTTCTAAACCTAAACATATTCTTATCATATGATCCAGCAATTATAATCTTTGTATTTACCCAAATAAGTTAAAATTTGTGTCCCCACAAAAATCTGCACATGGATGTCTATTGCAGCTGTATTCATAATTGCCGAAACTTAGAAACAGCCAAGATATCCTTCACGGGGCAAAGAGAACTGTGGTACCTCCAAACAATGGAATATTATTCAGTGCTAAAAAGACATGAGCTATCAAGCCATGACAAGAAATGGAGGAACCTTCAATGCATATTACCAAGTGAAATAACCCAATCTGAATGGACTACATACTGTATGATTCCAACTATAGAACATTCTGTCCTTGAGAAACCAAACACCGCATGTTCTCACTCATAGGTGGGAACTGAACAATGAGAACACATGGACACAGGAAGGGGAACATCACACACCGGGGCCTGTTGTGGGGTCGGGGGAGGGGGGAGGGATAGCATTAGGAGATATACCTAATGTAAATGACGAGTTAATGGGTGCAGCACACTAATATGGCACATGTATACATATGTAAGAAACCTGCATGTTGTGCACATGTACCCTAAAACTTAAAGTATAAAAAAATAAAATAAATTAAATAAATTTAAAAAAAGAAAATTCTGAAAGGCACAAAGCTATAAAAATGGTGAAAAGATCCGTGGTTTTCAGGGGTTGGGTGGAATAAACAGATGGAACACAGAGGATTTTTAGGGCAGTGAAACAATTCCGTTTGTACTATAATGGTGGATACATTTGTCCAAACCCAACACCAAGACTGTACAGCACCAAGAGTAAACCCTCAGTAAACTATGGACCTTGGGTGGTTATGATGTGTTATGAAGGCTCATAAATTGTAAGAAATGCACCATTGTGGTGGAGGATGATGGTAACAGAGGAGGCTGTGCCTGCGTGTGGGCAGGGAGCACATGAGAAATTTCTATACCTTCTACTCAATATTGCTGTGAACCTAAAACTACTGTAAAAAATGTCAATTTTAAAAATCGAGTCACGATTATTATTATCTAAAAACCCTTCTACCTTTGGATTCCAATGTTACATGTAGCCAAAATATATTTGTTGAATGAAGTTACCATTTGCCAAGCATTTGTATTATCCTGGCCTCCGGTGGTGAATTTGCAGAGATGTCATAATTCTTCCTGCTGCATTTAGCATTTCTACAGCACTTCTCCCTGATCTTGGGTTTTCTGTGAGCTGTTACAATCACTGAGCCTTTCCCATCCCCGCCCCCCACAATTGCTTTGTGTGCAGCTGATTACTATTATTATCCTTAATTTCCAAAGGAGGAAACAGGCACAATAAGTCCTCATCTAGGAGGTGTTATTTGGGCATAAATAACACCTCAGGTGAAACGGGTGAGGCCCAATTTGCATCCTGGCATTAAATTAGAAATAGACCCCAGGAATATTTTATTCCTAAGGTAACAACCGGCAAGTGGAAAACCCAGAGTGATTAACGAAGGATGCTTGGCTTTTGTAACAGCTTGGTAATAAATCGAGAGTTCAAGTCACCTGCTTATATGCTGGACTGCTCTGGACCTGCAGGAGCCCTGAGCCTGTTTTCCTGGTGTGAAATATGTGGTGAGCCTGACCAGCAGACTAAGTATTCAGAGACCCTGGATCTACAACCCACTCTGCACTGTCACAGCCATATGACCTTGGCAAGTCCTTGAACATTGTTAAGCATCAGTTTTGTTTTGTTTTTCTATTTGTAGCAATAACACTCTCATGGATATGCACACCTCCCAAGGCTCACCTATATCTGTTGAAATGAGACGGTGCATCTGAAAGTGGGTTGGAGACCATGGGGCACTGGCAGACGTTTTTACATTCCACTTCACTTCCATCCCCCCATCTTCTAGATTTCTGTTTACAGCAGAGGATCCCAAGAGAAGATCAGAAGGAAAAAAAAAGGGAAATGTTACAATATACAGAAAAAAACAGACGAGTCCTAAGATGGTAAATGGATGAGGGTTTTTTTCTTTACAGAGACTGTTGTGCATGAAGTTTATCAATGGATAATCCTTCAGCCTTAGAGTTAGGCCCACGGCAAAGTAGGGATGGCTATAGGCAGCCATGTCATTGCCAGAGATATATTTAGACCTATATACCTTTGCGGTCACACTTCGTAGAGCAGGGAAATTAAAAATGCAAGCCCACCCAATGACTGGAAACACTGAATCCTTGCTCAAGATATGTATATACTATTTAACTTATGTATTTATTGAACTCATAATTAACATAAGGTTATCTAGGTTCCATGGCTGACCCAGGTCCCATTTACACAAATGGGATAAGTTACTGACTTAGCAGACCTCATCTTAATCAATAGAATCAATGGTGCCATCACCAGAAATAGGATATGTTAATATTTTATGTCCTCTGATGCAATGCGTTGGGAAGGGCACATGGCCTCTGGTGGTATTCTTTCCCAAAATGTATGGCTCCAATCTATCAAAACATCAGACAAATATAAATGAGACATGCTGGACAAAGTCCTTGACCAGTACTCTTCAAATGTTTCAAGGCCATGAAAGACAAGGAAAAACTGAGACATTGTCACAGATGAGAGGAGAATAAGGAGACATTGCAACTAAATGCATGGTGGGATCCTGGACCTAATTCTGGAACAGAGAAAGGATATTGGAGGAAAGACTAGTGGATTCCTAATGAGGTGTGTAGTTTAGTTCTTGGTATTGTACCAAGGTTAACTTAGTTTTGAGAGTTGAACCATGGTTTCCTGGGATGTTAACCTTGGGGAAAATAAATCAGGGTGTGTGTGTGGGAGCACTCCATTCTCTTTGCAACTCCTCTATACGTCTAAATTTTTTCAAAATTAAAAGTTTAAAAAATAAGCACGATGTTTGACCTGATTTTCTAGTCCCCATGCACAATTCCAGGGAGAAATTAGAACTGCAATTGGATCTGGTGATGGGAGGGGGATGATATCTAAGTTGTCTAAATTGAGGCAAAGGCTCAAAATTAACATGGTTGTTATTCCTGCAAAAAGTCTATCTATGACTGATTTATACCAGACTATGAACAAATAACTGAGAATTAGTTCAATAAGCCCCTGCCAGCAACCCTCTTCTCCCTAACCCACCACTCCTCCTCCAACCTCCCACCTGCCTGAGAAAGGGGAGCTCCTCCCTGAAATCATAGCATGTTCCAATTTTTGTGTAAACCACGGCAAAGGCACTGACTCTTTTCTTTTTGCATTGTTCCCATGAAGTGTGCCATTAGGGGCTCAGAATAATAAAGACTGCTGTCATAATTAAGCTCCGGGATGTATTTCAAAGACTCACAGACATTAGAGATGAGAAAGACCCAGCAGGTCATCCAAGCCTGTCTCCCTGCCAGTGCAGGATGGCTGTGTGCAATTTGGAAGATCTGTTATCAGGCTATAAAAATTCTAAACTATTCAAAAAATTACCACATTGTATAAATTATAATAAAAAGTTTACCTTATTCCTGGGCAATTCTTGAGTGTGTGTGTGGTGGGGGAGAAAGTAAGTCACTGAATAGCTTTCTGAAAACAATTACTGTCCTATTTAGAATATATTTTCCAAGGTGAAAGTATGGTTATTTTCTGCTCAATGTGACAGCCTGCGCTTATTGTTATGCAAGAGTTGTCTCCCTGCATCTGATAATTTAAAATTTAGCACTGACCCCAGCTGTCCCTCAAATGATATTATAAATGTGCTTGCAATAGTTCCAACTTCTTCTGGCTTTTATTTAAGTGCTGGACTTGAGCACAGTTGCATAGGATTCTGCCTCTGGCTCAGACATCCTGGCCCCAGTATCTTCGTTCTTTAAGAATAAAGCCTGGAAGGAAACACTTCAAAGGCCTTCAAAGAATGATACTCAAGGCACTGCACCTTATTAAGCTGAGTGAGGTCTTTTTCGATGAGAATTGTGAAATGACTGTGATGTATGTGTTGATTTACAATCCCAGTAGAAATGAACAAAATAACTATAACAATACCAAAAGTAGGATGTAATTTCAAGGGGAAGAATTTAGAGGAATATTGAGGAGAACTACTTAAATGAAAGAGTTAATTTATAGTCCAGAAATACATCCCTGGAATACATTTGAATTCTGAACAAAATGGCATAGTGGAATAAAGAATGTAGGCGGATAGAATCCAGTGAAATACATGACCACTGTATCCATCAAGAATGGCTATCCGTCTCTCACTCTGTCATGCCAGGTATGGGGATATGAGAGCATGGCAATATGAAATATATCAACATTTCCCACTGTCTTCTTGCGTTTTCTCTACTTGGCATACACAATTCACCTTTACATAATACATATGAAACTGTAAGCCTTGTCCTATGAAAAGAAAGAACATTGTCACAAGGAGAATGCCTAGCTCTTCTTTGCCATCAGTTGGTGGTTGGGTGTCCCAAGTTTGCAATAAGTCATGGTGAAGACCCCCATTAAGAAGCATATCCCAAGACCCAGAAGTTCTGCATCTGGCATCCTTCATCACTCTTCTTTTTCTTTTTTTTTTTTAGACAGAGTCTAGCTCTGTTGCCCAAGCTGGAGTGCAGTGGTGCGATTTCAGCTCACTGCAACCTCCACCTCCCAGGTTTGAGCAATTCTCGTGCCTCAGCCTCCCAAGTAGCTGGGACTACAGGCATGTACCACCGCACTGAGCTAATTTTTGTATTTTTAGTAGAGACTGGGTTTCACCATGTTGGCCAGGCTTGTCTTAAACTCCTAACCTCAGGTGATCTGCCCACCTCAGCCTCCCAAAGTGCTGGGATTACAGGCATGAACCACCATGCCTGGCCCACCACTCTTCTTCTTTTAAGATGACTGCATGTTAACACATCGGTCGTGTATGCAGGGTGGATCCTGTTTACCTTTGTGTATCAAACTTTCATTTGTTAGTTGGTTAAAATGTAGAATACATAACAAATGCTGGCAAGGATTGTGGAGAAAAGGGAACACTTGTCCACTGTCAGTGGGAATGCAAATTAGTACAACGACTAGGGAGAACAGTTTGGAGATTCAGCTACCATATGATCCAGCAATCCCACTGCTGGGTGTATACCCAAATGAACAGAAATCAGTGTAATGAAGAGACATCTGCACTCCTATGTTTGTTGCAGCACTGTTCACAGTAGCTAAGATTTAGAAGCAACCTAAGTGTCCATCAACAGATGAGCAGATAAAGAAAAGGTGGACATACACACAATGGAGTACTCTTCAGCCATAAAAAAGAATAAGATCCAGTCATTTCCAATAACATGGATGGAACTGGATCATTATGTTAAGTGAAATAAGCCAGGCACAGAAAGACAAACATCACGTGTTCTCACTTATTTGTGGGATTTAAATATCAAATCAGTTGAACTCATGGACATAGAGAGTAGAAGGATGATTACCAGAGGCTGGGAAGGGTAGTGGAAGGGTAGTGGGAGGGTGGAGGTGAGGATGGTTAATGGGTATGAAAAAAAATAGTTATAAAGAATGAACAAGACCTACTATATGATAGCACAATAGGGTGACTATAATCAATAATAACTTAATTGTATATTTTTCAATAACTTAAACAGTGTAACTGGATTATTTGTACCTCAAAGGATAAAATGCTTGAGGGGAGGGACACCCCATTCTCCATGATATGCTCTTTTCACATTGCATGCCAGTATCAGAACATCTCATGTACCCCATAAATATATATACCTACTGTGTACCCACAGAAATAAATACATAAATAAATACATAAATACATAAATAAAATCCAGAGCCAAAAAAAAAGCACTTGGAATTCAGTTTTTCAAAGTCCCAGTGTTGTAAATAAAGCTTACTTCCCATGTTAGCCCACAAAATTCATGATTAGAGCTAGGATCATGGCCTTGACCATATCTATACACAGAACCCTTAAAACCCAAGTGCTGAAAGCCCCATGACTTCACACAGCTATCAATGCCTGATGCCAGCAATTCAACTCTTCACTCAAGTGTTGAGTTTCCACTCCATAGAGAAAGCATAGTAATTTATATGAAGTGGTTGTCAAAACTTGATTGTTCATTAAGTCTGAGTATTGTAGTTCTGAAAATAATAGGTAAAGATTTAGACACATGAAAACAGCAAAAGCAGTAAGACATCTCTGTGACCATAACAAGGAATGGCAGGCCAATGAGAAATCACATAGACTGCAGAAGACATAAACTCTTAGACAGAACTGGGTGAACACTAACATCTCAACAAACACAGCTTTCTCCATTCCCTTAATGGTATACAAGCAATACGAACACACTTCCCTTTACCCTTCAACTCTCACTCTTACCGGTAATATGAACAGTAACCTATTGTGGGAAAACTGCTCCTAAATTTTCCTTTTCTGTTTTGGTTTGGATCTTTGGGTTTCCAAATATGGGGAAACCTTCAATGCAGTTTAATTGGGGGAGGAGAGTGGTCAAGCAAAATATGTGATGCAAGAAGGGAAAGCCTCACAAAAAGCCAAGAACAGGAATCATAAAGCCCCAGGCTGCCTGGATCCTGGCACTAGAGGCAGGAAAGCTCCAATGGCAAAAAAAACTCTGGACCATTCCAGAGTCCTCTGCTATCCGATGGACTCCTCTATACTCTCTGTGTGGGAGGCTTTCTGACCTGCTGGCAAAAGCTCCTATACTTTCTCATGGTCTCTGTCACCTAAGCCTTGTGCCCATGCCTAGCACATCACTATCTCTACTCTTTCCATGGTGACTCTTGGCACATCCTTCAGGGTTCTGTCTTCTAACACCTTCTGATATTTTCCCAGTATAAATTGCTGTTAGGATAGAGATGGGGGCGAAAAGAGAAAGAAAGGTGCGAGAGGGAGAAGAACCTGACTGCCCAACCCACCTTTCTTTAGCCATTGGCTATAGGTCATAACTTATAAGTCATTGGACAGGCAATGGATTGGCTGTCCTCCAGTCAGGTGTCCCACCCTGATGCAGTTAGCATATGGATCCTGTGGCATAAACTAGGGACCTATCCCCTAGAAACTATACCAAGAGCCAGGTCTGTGACATGACTGTCCCCTAAGCCTTCTGCCCACGTATAGCCCATCACTGTCGAAATACATGATGCAAAAAGGTGCTACCTGATTGGGAATGCCAGCTACTCCATAACCTCAGCCTTCCACTTAAACTTCTCATGCGGAGAACTGAAGAAATAACTTGCTCATCAGGATGCATTAAAACAGAAAGATGGAACCCAGAATATTTGCTAACTTCCGCTCTGTTCCAACCACTTAAATGAACAACTTTTATTTTTCTAAATAACCATAAACGGGCCACAGAATATTTGTTCAATATACATATTCACAGGGTGTTCTTCATACCCCTTATTTGCTGGAAATCAATTCTTAGGCAATTTCAGGTTAACTGTTTAGCCTTACAGTCTTTTTAGATGCTACTCCTTCATTTTTCATTTTCCAGTTGCTTCTAAGGCATCAATAAAAGTGACCCTGCCCTGGGCAAAAACTTCCCAGCAGCATGACCCACTCACTCCATGCTGTCATTCATCTAGCCGACATCTACTGAGCTCCTATTGTGGGGTAGCCTAGTGTGGAGACTTGGTCAGAGAAGGTTCAGCTAGAAAAGTTAGGAGAAAAGCCCAGGGCCCCAGAAATCATGGGCAAACTGTCAGAGACACTTCCCTCACCTTGGCCATCACTTGGAAGCCTTAACTGCCATGTAAATCTCGACCAACAGGTTATCTCCTACCAGAAGCAGAAGAGATGTCAAAACCATGAACATTTTTCCTAATGACTTTTTTTGCAAAGATATCATGTGGCAACCTGGGACTTGAGCTGGCGACCTTGCTCTTCAAAATCTCTATTTCACTATTTCAATTACACAGGCAGAAAAAAGTAAGTGATATTTTTCCTAAGATTATGACACATATCAGCCCTGAGTAGAAACAGTGTCTCCATGCCCAATTTCCCTTACGTGCTAGCAATTCTATCAGTTTGCTCTGACAGGGGTTAACTCGGTTACATGTGATCTCCTGAGACACAGTTCACATCCTTTGACCACTCATTTAGTGGGGATTTGTTTTCTCTTCCCTGATTAATAACTACAGAGAGCCATGTCCCCAAACCAAGCCACATTCTGAAACATTTTTATTGGTCTACACTTAAAGCCACAAGTCACTTTTTATTTATTTATATATTTATGTATTTATGAGATGGAGTCTCTGTTGCCCAGGCTGGAGTGCAGTGGCACGATCTCGGCTCACTGCAACCTTTGCCTCCTAGGTTCAGATGATTCTCCTGCCTCAGCCTCCCAAGCAGCTGGGATTACAGGCGCCCACAATCACACCCGGCAAATTCTTGTATTTTTAGTAGAGATGGGGTTTCACCATGTTGGCCAGGCGGGCCTCGAACTCCTGACCTCAGGTGATCCCAAAGTGCTGGGATTACAGGTGTGAGCCACCACACCCGGCCTAAGCCACAAGTCATTTTTATCCAGTGTACGTATTAGCCAAATCTTTGTGGAAGCTGCTTGTTTGTTTTTCTCGAATATTCTGGGAAATTCCAGTCTGGTGTAGGGTAATGAAGGCGAGGTTAACAACTGCTTTCCTAACACTCAGCACTCAACCGCACCTCCAAATCTTGTCATAGGCTGCTTAGGCAGGGGCAAAATTGTTTCTTTGCAAGAAACAGTCTTCCAAGATCAGTGATGCACGAAGTACTTCGATTTGAAAGGAGTGAAAGAAAGGAGAAGACAGCAAAGGAAAAGGAAGCTTCGAGATAGCACAGAAACCCAGACTGGAGGGCCGTGAAGCTGAGAACATTTTTGAAGTTGTTCGCAAATGCTGCATCTACCCTTGACAGGTCATTTCATTCCACTTAGCACTTTTTATTCACTGTGGTTTATAAGCTCTTAAGCAAATGTAGAAGGAAGGAAAATCTAACATATCTGGTAGTATAGTATATCAGACTGACAATCCAACTGAATTTCCCCTGCATTGTGAGCAAGACACTTCCAAAGAGAAATTATACAAAAAGAAAAGAGAAGGAGGATTACAGAGATCATGGCTTCACATTGATTTTCAGAGAAGACCTGAGTTGATTTCTGTTTAGCTCAGTGGTACACCAGTTGGAACATGGTGCCTGGCGATGCTGCACTGTAACATGATCTGTGCTATAAATAGCTGCCAAATAGCCATGTGGCGGCTGGCAGCATGCTACGTGCTGTGATGAGAGCGACCCGTTTCAAAGGGAAGCCACATAAGACAAGGGCAAGTAAAGCTGAGGTGCAGGGGAGCAGTTTTTCATTATCTTGCTGTGTTTTCCTTTTTAAATGTATTAAAGTGTATTCCTCACTTTAAAAAGGCACTAATTGAATTAGGATTTTTTTTTTGATTGGCCAACATTTAGAAACACATCCATGTAACTTGTGGGATGATTTATCTTCTTTGGTGGTCTGTTTTCTCCAAAAGGGACATGATATTACTATTGCGACCCGCTCCCTCAAGTTTTCCCAGCTCTGATCATGCTCCTGGGCAATCTTAGACATGCAGAAGCAGTAAGATGTAAGAAGTCCCTAAGATGAGTGGAGGAATGAGGAAAATATAATTAGTGCTGAAGAAACTGTATCCAGTGACTTCGGAATAGTAAGGTCAGAAATCTTGGATCAGAAGCCCTAAAAACATGGTACGGCAATTCAAAACTAGAATAATAATAATAGTAATAGTTGATAACATTTATTGAGCACTTATTTTGTGTCAGATACTTTTGCAAACACGTTGCATGAACATTTTCATTGTCCCTGCTTCATGGATGAGGAGACTGAGGCATTGGAACTTTACACAATTGCTCAACACCACACTGCCAATGGTGGAAGTCGGATCCCAGCCCTGGCCATCTCTCACTCTCCAGGGACCTCTCTCTAAACCACAATAGCCCCCACCGCCGCTCTAATGAACATCGATTGGGAACTTTGTTAAAAAAAAAAAAAAAAAAAAGCCAGCTGCAGACTGTACGCTGCACTGGGGCTTTGCCCAGTTATTTTGCTTGGAGGAAAGTGAAGAGCCTCAGTAACTTACCCGAGGGCATCCGGGTAGGCTTCAGATGCAGAAGTTTTCTCTCTACCACATACCTGGATGCCCTCATAAATGTTGTGAGTCATGGCACCATGAGATACCCATGGTCCCATTTAATGGTTCAAGCCCAAGCACTAAATCTCAGTGAGTGGCCAGTGGAGAATTTAAAAGTGGCTGACTTTATGCAATTCAGTTGTTAATTCATGCAACTAACTCAACATGTAGCCTCAAGCAATTGTTCCATTTTTCATTCAAAAGTGTTCAAAACATCTTCTCTCTGCTATTAGGAAGAAACCAGTTGGTATCATGGAGAGAACATGGAGACTAAACACCTGGAAGTTCACCTCCAGTGCTTTTTGGCTGTGTGGCCTTGGGCGAGTTACCTATTCTTTTAGTTTCAGTTGCCTCAACTCTCCAATGGGACTGACACCACCAGACAAAGTAAGAGAAGCTACTGGCATGTAGAAATGCTCAAACATCACAATCACTGCCACTGTGAATCTTCTCTTGACTTTCATTCAGTGGCAATTTAGGGAGCACATTTTATTGTTCTTACAGGATTTCAATTGTCCACAATTATTTAACTCACAATAATGTTGGGTGGATAGTCACTATTATTCCTCTGCTTTTAAATGTGGTCACCTGGAAAACAGCAAAGTGACTCAAAAACTCAATGGGGTTTCTAAGGCCAAAGACTCAAACACTGACCATGTCTGTGTGTCTGAGCTATGCTGGCTTGGCTATGATTCAAAGAGTCTCAATAATACTGGAAATATTTAAAGACACGAAAAATGTTAAAACAATACAATTAGGTAAAAAACTAAGTTTAGGAAACTTTGCTCTGTATTACCTGCTTCTTGTTACCTATTAGAACTATTAACACCACTTGACTCTGAGGGCAGAATTGTAGGTAAAAGTTATTTCTTCCTTTCTGTTCCTTTGTCCTTTTTGAATTGTCTAATTAATATTTATTACTTTTGTAAAGAAAAACAGCTTGGAAAATTAAAATATTTCTTTAACATCTTCTTTTTCTGTCCTGTTGTGTCTTCCAATAGGCAATAACAGACCTTAGATACCATGTGTTTTTCTAAAAGCTTGATAGGTACTGAAGTTTTTGCCTTTGAGGCTCATCATTTCATGATTAAAACAACATAAAATAACATGTTATAAAGCAACAATGTTATGAAAGCAATTTGGAATATATTTGTATTAGTCCCTTCTCACACTCCTATAAAGAAATACCTGAGACTGGGAAATTGATAAAGAAAAGAGGATTAACTGGCTCACAGTTCCTCATGCTGCACAGGAAGCATGGCTAGGGAAGCCTCAGGAAACTTTCAATCATGGCAGAAGGCGAAAGGGAAGCAGATACATCTTTTTTTTGTTTTGTTTTGTTTTCAGACAGAGTCTTGCTCTGTCACCAGGCTGGAGTGCTGTGGTGTGATCTCGGCTCACTGCAACCTCCACCTCCTGGGTTCAAGTGATTCCCCTGCCTCAGCCTCCTGAATAGCTGGACTACAAATGCACACCACCACCATGCCTGGCTAATTTTTTTTGTATTTTAGTAGACACGGGGTTTCACTGTGTTGGCCAGGATGGTCTCAATTTCCTGACCTTGTGATCTGCCCACCTCGGCCTCCCAAAGTGCTGGGATTACAGGCATGAGCCACCACGCCTGGCCAGCAGGTACATCTTACATGGCCAGAGCAGAAGGAAGAGAGAGAAGGGGAAGGTGCTTCACACTTTTAAACAACCAAATCTTGAGAGAACTCACTATCATGAGAACAGCAAAGAGGAAGTCCACTCCCATGGTCCAAACACCTCCCACCAGACTCCTCCTCCAACACTGGGGATTATGATTCGACATGAGATTTGGGCAGGGACACAAATCCAAACCATGTCAAAATGTTGCTCTCCACAAACAATCACTGAGGACAGGTAAAATTATTAACTATTATAAACTGGTGAAGATGCTGAAGATCAGTCAAAAACCGCAGTATCTATCAGCATAAGATATAGTCATTTACTGTGATGTAGTCAACTGAGCCAGGCATAGACAGTGGTAAAAACAACTCTTCTCCCACGTCACCTCTTAAGAATCAAATCCCCTGCTTTTATTAATAAAAAATTCAATACAGGAATTGTTTAGAGTCCAAATGGAGCCCATTTTTAAAACCCTCTTTCTGAATCTTTTATTTCACACCTCTCTTTCATAAGCTGCACTTTCCTTTTATCTTAAAGCATTTTTCTGGCTCAAAAATGGATAACTTCAATGATGTGGAATCTATTAACAAGTCCAATGTTCTAGTGCAATATTATGATACGCCTTTTGATTGGCCCTAGACAGAAAGCTGAGTATTCCCATTAAACCAGTGGATGGCTTTTGGACAGTCACTGGGATTCTTCCAGATAGGAACAAAACTAAACTAATGTTGAGAATGTGCTATTGACATTGCTTCACTTTCTTTCTAAGGCCTAATTTGAATGGGTTTACATATCTCCTTTAAAAGTTAATGTAAGCATATCTCCTTGAGGATGCATTATGTGCTATTTTCTTTCAGTGAATGGAACTGTTTAAGAAGGACAGAACTGGCTGGGCATGGTGGCTCACGCCTGTAATCCTAGCACTTTGGGAGGCCGAGGTGGGCGGATCACGAGGTCAGGAGTTTGAGACCAGCCTGGCCAACATAGTGAAACCCCGTCTCTACTAAAAAAATACAAAAAATTAGCTGGGCTTGGTGGTGGGCACCTGTAATCCCAGCTACTTGGGAGCTGAGGCAGGAGAATCGCTTGAACCCAGGAGGCGGAGGTTGCAGTCAGCTGAGATCACACCACAGCACTCCAGCCCAGGCGACAGTTTGAGACTCCATCAAAAAAATAAAAATAAAAAATAAAGGAAGAACTCTTGAATCTAGTGTTGAAAACATGCTATTGAAATACACTTCACATTTTTTCTAAGATATTAAAAACCAAATGCCATCAGAAATACATAAGAAATTTCCTTCTCAAATGCTTATCTAGAAAATCAAGTCAGGGGAACATTTAACTTCACTAGCAAGATGGAACCTTCCAGATGTACACTAACATCCTGACAGACTGAGATGCTGTCATTTTCTATTACTGCTCACAGTGTTAAAAGACCTACCTTTCAACTGTGTTGACTCTTGGGGATCTTATTTTTGTGCTTTGAGGATGAGCAGTGAAGACTATTGATTTGACTTGTAAAAGGTGACCCCAACACCTGATGCTGGAACTAGTACATACTAAGTGAACAATAGGGATTTTGTTTGGTTGGTTGGTTCTTCTTCTTTCTTCTTTCTTTCTTCTTTCTTCTTCTTCTTTTGTCAAATTGAATGTACTGAGTGCTTTCTACATTCTGGGTGTTTACTTTGAGGTGAGGCAGGCACCACCGTCCCTCCACACATACGCTGGCAGGCTCCACACTCCACTTTTTTCATGGCCCTCTTCACACCATCCACTTCTTTGTACAAACTAATTTTCAAAGTACACACACTTGCCCTTGTTTTCCCGGGTCTTCAGAATGCTTTATTTTGATCCCACATTCCCTTCTACCCATTTCCATGGTTCTGCTCTGCTTCAAAGACAGTCAGCTTTTAGAAGTTGCACAACAACCTTTTCCACTCTCTTACCTCCTGTTAACTCTTTAAATCAATCACATCTGGCTTCCATTCCCGCCCCTATACCAAAACTTCTGTAGTCACCATCACCAACCACCTCCACACTTCCATCTCCAAAGATCACCTTTTTTCCTTGTCCTACTCATCCCCTCAGCACCACTGGTAAATATAAAAACTCAGTCGCTTCTCGAAACATCGTCCTTCTGGGTTTCCTCGATATCACACTTCCCATTAATTCTTCATTGTCTATTTCTGACTTCTCCGCAGGCTCAGTCTTCCACTTGTCCTCCCCTGTTTGGTTCTCCAGTGCACAGAGGATCAACCTCTCTAGCTCTCCTCCTCAGGGGTCTAATCTTTGCCATGGCTTTACATGTTGTGACTCCCCAGTGTGCATCTCCAGGCCCACATTGCTCCTCTGAACTAACTGCCTAATCTAACTGTTTTTAAATATTTATTGACATATAATAGTTGCACATATTTTGGGGGTATACTTGATGTTTTGATGCCTGTATACAATGTGCAATTATCATATCAGGGTAATAGGGACATCCATCTCCTTAAACATTTATCTTAAGTGTTGCATTTTTTTTTTTTTTTTGAGACAGAGTCTTGCTCTGTTGCCCAGGTTGGAGTGCAGTGGAGCGATCTCAGCTCACTGCAAGCTCTGCCTCCCGGGTTCACGCCATTCTCCTTCCTCAGCCTCCCGAGTAGCTGGGACTACAGGCACCTGCCACCATGCCCGGCTAATTTTTTGTATTTTTAGTAGAGACGGGATTTCACCATGTTAGCCAGGGTGGTCTCGATCTCCTGACCACGTGATCTGCCCGCCTCAGCCTCCATTTTTAAATAGGATGATCATGGGATGTTTTCCTGAGAAGGTAACTTTTGAACAAAGGCCTAAAGGAGATGAGAGACTGAGTGGGGACCACTGTATTAGGCCACTCTTGCCCTGCTATAAAGAAATACCCGAGACTGTGTGATTTATAAAGAAAAGAGATTTAATTGCCTCACGGTTCTGTAAGCTGAAAAGGAAGCATGGCACTGGCATTTGCTCAGCTTCTAGGGAGAACTCAGGGAACTTTTACTCATGGCAGAAGGCAAAGAGGGAGCAGGCATGTCACATGGCTGAGCGGGAGCAAGAGAGAGTAGGGGAGGAAGTGTCACACACTTAATCAATTACAACTCGTGAGAACTCACTCAGTATGGCAAGGATAGCACCAAGCCATGAAGGATCCACCCTCATGACCCAAACACCTCCCACAAAGCCCCACCTCCAACATTGGGGATTATAATTCAACATGAGATGTGGGGACAAATACTCAAACTATATCAACCACTGTATGCACTTGTGCAGGTCATAGTAGCCTAATTTTAAAGATTTCAATTATGAAAACATAATGCAGGCTACACATTATGTTCAAGGGTGTTGAGTCTGGAGTGCACCTTGGCATGTCTGAGGCACAGAATGAGAGTGGGGAAAAGTAGTAAATGAGTTGGAGAAGTAAGTAAAGGGGTCAGCTTCTACAGTGTCCTGTGGCCACTGCAGGACTTTGAGAAATCCAACTCTTTATCAGGGTTGAAACGTGGACATGTCACAGGCATCTCAAACATGACACCATGAACATGAACCATGGATTCCTCTCTCCCTCAAGCCTGTTCTCCTCCTGCCTTCTCCATCCACCCATTTGCTTAAGCTAGAAATCTGAAGTCATTCTTGCTTCTTCCCTGTCCTCAACCTCTATCTAATTCACAGCAAGTCCTTTCAACTTTTTCCCTCAAAATATACTATAATGAGGCAAGGGCTTGGAATGATTGGACCCTTCCTGCTTCTCCAACTTCATCACAAAGCTCCCTGCTTCAATGGCCAGCCACACAAGCTGCCTTGCCATTTCTAGAACATGTCAAGTTCTTTTCCATTTTCAGGCGTTTTCTTCCACTTGCTCCCTTCTCCCTGAAATCCTTTTGTTTCCACTTTTTACCCAGTTAGCCCCTTTATGTATTTTGTGTATTGGAATAGTCAGAATTCTTGCCTTAGAAAGAATTTCTCTTATTATCCAACAAGCATAGTTTCATCTCTCATTATGTCTGTTATGCATTTTTCCCTAGAGGATTTATCACAATTGATAAAGTCAAAGTTATTTTTCTCACTTGTCTGTTCTCTATATCCCTTGCTTGAATCTCAGTTTGAAGAATAAAAAGACCATGTCTGTTTTGTTCAATAATATGTATCTAACATCTAGTGCCATTTGTGACTAGTAGCATGTATGCAATTACTGTTTGTTGAATAAACTAGTGAACGTCTCAGATGAAGAAACTGAGTCAAAGTGAAGTAGAATGATTTGGCAAATTGCAAGTTTAAAATCAAGGACTTGAAATCAACTCTCCAAACACAGGCTCATCACATTCCACACAACACCCTAGGAACCTCCCTTCAGGGGACCCAAATAAGGAGCTGACAGGGAACCAATCAGTATAATCTTCTGCAAGGGGATTGAAAGAATAAACCAACTAAGACATGTGGCTTTAGAAAGAAATCATTTTGCCCAAAAAGGTTTATAACTATTAAATAAATACTTATTGACAGCTATCGATTGCCAGTTGGTGTGCAGAACATGTTCAAAGACACAATCATGGCCACTGGCATTTACAGGGAAAACATGACTAGTTCATTTTATATGCAACACCACATATGCTCTGGATCCAAGGAAGAGAAGGCCGTGGTAGCACTTGTTATTTGCCCCAATCCTCACTCACCAGTGCAACAAGCATGCAATAGCAGAAAGATAAAATATGCCCTCCTTTCCAGCAAAACTTAAGAGTTTGGGAATGCCTGAGACAGATATTTGGATATGTGTATATGCACATATAATATAATGTAAGCATTTCTTCTACGCGTTCATGTATACACTTTACATACATACACATACATTATGTGTATATATGTGTGCATGCATGTGTAATCAGACATATAGAGGCAGGCGTGTATGTATTCTATATGCATACACACAGACATATGTATATAGTTTTATCCAAATCCATATATACATATACATGCATACCACAGACATATATATACATATACATGCCTAGGTATGTGGTTATAGGTACACATAGACAAGTTAATCCGACTTTCTACTTCACATATCTTTCAGATAGTTACATATACCCACAAAAGTTTTTGAGAAAAATTTCCCTTGAATTTTCGGGGGATGAAAACAATACATCAAATTTTCTTACAGTGCCTTTATATATGCTAGACCAAAATATGAGGCAATAAGCATTATTCTTTACACATCACTCTTTGGTAGTATTTGTTGTTTAAATATCTGTTCATTTAGGTCGTTTTTAACATCAATACTCTGTGTAAGCATTGGTAAATTTTTTAACAGTGGCAGTCTCTCTTTAGAATTAATGGGGAAAAATGCTAAGAAAAGAAAAAATGAATTGTCATATAAAAAGACAACTATCCTACATTTTCAGTGAATTATGTCACTGTAATTCCTAGACGTCCAGAAGAATGAGAATATTAAAATCTTTGCTGCATGTGCACTTATTTTATCCCAGTGAGCCCTCTCCTTCCCTAAATTATCTGCAAAATATTCAGAATCCGTGCAGGATGCCAATTATTTCAACCATGCTTATTTCATAAACCCAAGGTAAACTATCCTGTCATTTCAGTGAACTAGGAAAACCATCATCATTTGAAGAATCCAAATCGTTCTAATTTAGTTACTTATATAGACAATGTATAGATATAGAGAGTATCTATCTATATAGAGATCAATTTAACTGTATAATTTAGAGATAGATAGATAGATAGATAGATAGATAGATAGATAGGATTAAATAGAATTATTAGATATATCATATGACTCCTTACATCTAGAAGCAGATCATTTATAAAGTTCAACCGTCCAATTGCCCCTTCAATTTTTCAGTCATAGCTGAATCCTATGGGCAGGAGGGATGATCTTTCAAAAAGCTGAGTGGGTCTCCTCGGGCATCTCCATTGTCGTTCCAGACTTGCTGTCTCTGATACATCCCACTCTCACAGGCTAGTCCAGGTTTGTCTCACTGATCTGAAGATGGAGCCCCTAACGCTTGCTCTGGGGAGTTAGTTCAGAAAGTCTAATCTGTAACTGGATGTTTTCCTTTCTTTCTTTCCTATCTTCCCTGCTAACCAAATTAAATGTCCCTTTGCTAACTTTATGCTTATTATAATACGAAAGATACTATATCCCCATCCTCCTTGGTTTTCAACATATCTAAGGTATTGTCATCCTACATTCTTATTGGAATTTCCCCACCTACCCTTGATCATCACTGAGGAAATGTCTCCATATATTTAACTCCTTCATACAATCAATAAAAATGTAGTTTTCTGTTTCATCTCTTGTTTATGAGTTTCCACTTCTGGTGGAGTCCCAAAAAAATCAAATCTGGTTTTGATTTAGCTCATCTTATATTTTCTTCAATGTAACCCCATCACCATTGGTCTTTCTCACAATTCCACCGACCTTCAGACATATCCAGCCAATTTTACTGGTATCCAATATCTGCCTAACACCTCTGACATTCTAAGTCTCTTTGTAAGTCCAACATGGTTACTTTTAAGAAAATAGAAATCAAATTACGTGTTGAACTGAATAAACCACCATCCATTGAGTGAAACAGTTAAAGTGGCACTCAGGGAAACAACAATAATAGATTGCTGTTCCCAAAGATAACTGATTTTTTTTTAACTTGCTTAGCTCAAATATATTGATTTATACCATTCAATGTATCTCTTTCTACCCAAACATATAATACACATGCACACTTACATACACACAAATATACACAGACATGCACCCATATATATTGATGATAGACAGATAAATAGATGAATAATTACCAACACTGACACTTCCTCCAATATATTCCTTTATAATTCCATTTAATCTTCAAATTTAATAAATATATTTATAGATTAGTAATAAAAATGACTAAATGAATACTAACAACACACTTGATATTACTTTTTTTAGAAAGCCCTACCATCAACCCTCAAATTGTACACGATCATTAAACTTCTCTGTGTAGTCTCTCCAGCCAATTCCAATGTATGTGCAATCATCCACCTGAGTGAATTAAACCAGCTGAACAAATACAATATGGAGAGATGATAGCTTTCACCAAGTCCAAGAGCATAACTCACTGCCCTTTTTATTCACTCTTTCTAAAAGTGTAACTGAAAAGATATCCTTGATAAATTGAAACTTTATGATGCAAAATCAACATTTTTCAAAAAGATTCTAACACAGTTTAAAGGCTTCTAAAAATTAATAAATACAACCAATAGAGAAATAAACATAACATGGACATTTGGCAACACAGTATCTCAAATCAGATATAAGGTTGCTACAATAATGTACTATATAACTCTGCCATTTTTAAGTATATTTCACTCATTGACATAGCAATCACAACTCTCCTTCATTCCTTCAGAGGGTTGCTGGTAAATTGATCAAGAAATGTGCTTGAAATGTATTTGATTGATGCATTACAACTATAAAATAGTTCCAAAGTGCAAATCTGTGTAAAAGTGTCATACACATCAGCTATTCAGCCAATTGTCATATAAAAAATATATGGTAGCCACTTAAGTGTACTATAAAGTGAGGATAACCATCTGAAATTTATAAATATTCAAGCCTTTGCCGAAAGCAGCTTGTATGTGAAACTTAAATGGCATACAGTACACCAGAAAAAGGCTCCATTCCAAAGTACTACAAAAAAGAATTGTATTTACAGATGACATGAACTAATCAGATACATCCAACATCGTCTGGAAAACTTAATGGCATGCCATAACTTAATATCACAGTCAACATGCACAACAGACCTCATAATTATTTTTTCTAATAACAAAGCCAAAAGCAAAGAAGTAAATGAAGCAATATAAAAATGAAACAGTGAAAGACAAAGGGAAGTACCACAAAAACGTTTCAATGATATCACTGAAATGACTTGAGAAACCAGTTAGGCCTCTGGAGCTTTATTATTATTATTATTATTATTATTATTATTATTATTGGCAAGTCCTGTCATGAAAATGCCCTGAAGATTCAGACCTTTGCAATTTTTCCAAAGCTCCTTCCCACTGGAACAAGTCTTAATGGAAAAGCACAAGATGTACAGAGAAGACTGGGATCACCTCTCCCACGGCATTGGAAGAGCTGATGAAAAGGAGCAGTTCCTCTATCCCAGAGCATCTTCTGGGTGGTGACTTTTTTTGCCTGTGGGCCATGCCTCTCTGTCCTCACAACAGCTGCAGAATGAAACACCGCACCTCCAACAAAGCTCACATACCCTGCCGAGCTCCCCTGCGATGGAGGCTTCCAGAATGCAAATACGAGCTAGGCATCTCAGATGGATTTGATTTCAATCAACATTAGTGCCAAATGAACATCTTTGATATGCAAAATGTCTATGCTACTGAATAATACAGAATCATCTTTCCCCACAAAAACTTTCTTCTAGGAGGTTAAAGGAAATAGTCGATCTGTAAATGTTAATATATCTATTGTAAAGATGAAGAAATTGAGGGACAGTAATTAAAGGAATCAAATGATCAGAAGAACTGGAACCCATAACATCTTGGGGAAAGTTAATATTTTATGGTCTTTAATAAAGCAGGGCTATTATAATCCTCATATGGAAGTACGTTGAAAGTTTATATCTAAAAAATATTAAAATCACATTTTATCAATAAATTTTCACATGCTGAATGATAGCAATATAATTTTTAAATGAGAATTTTAAAATATCAAATAGAATTATGGACCAAGCGGAAATGCTTGGTTTTTACATATTTTAAACAATATTACATTATACAATTAACTCACTTTAAGTTCATAAAAATTCAATCTACGTTATACATAATTTGGTATGCAGATTTGCTAGTTTTAAATGTAGTTTAAAGTTTATGTAAGCATGCACAATTAAGTGAATAAAACTAGGTAACCAAACCACTGTTGGTGAAAAAGCAAGATAAGTACATGCTCTCAGTCTTGTTTGTTGTGGCCCATTTTAACTGGTGAGTACATGGCTCCCACTAATTAGAACAACTGCTGTCTATTTTTAAATTCATTTGCTCACAAGAGCCAGTGAATGTGTATGTGGATATTATCTGTGTGGGCAAGAAACAAAATAAATTCTCTGACAACCTTGCCCATTCTTAATTATTCTTCAAGGATTTTTTTTAATTAGCAGAAGTGAATGCCAAGGAGACTTTAAGCCAAATCTATCGAGATTTTCCCCATGTCATGGTATTAAGCTATTATCAGGCCTTTGCGACCTGCATGAACTCTAACATGTTCAATGAAAGGGAGACCTGTTTACCTATTCCCTAAAGAACTAGGTCCTTGACAGCACTTAGACAAGATAGAGGCTTGCTGGTGTCTGGAGAGATTCTAGGACCTTCTTACTGAAGAAAATTTTAGTAAAATGATTAATTTGAATAGCAACTAAAAAGTTATATCTACTAACTTTATGCTGGGATCAATGAAACAAAATGGAAAAAAAGTATTCCTTGTTTTAAAATCTCTCAAGAAAATACTTGTGGCAACAGTTGATTTAGTGATGTATCTGAATATGCCATCCAACAACCAGAAATAGTAATCCAGCTAGCAAAGAAAAAAATATCCCAGCTGGGGCCAGGAAAAATGACCAGCCATACAGAACAGAAGGGGTGAAATCCAGGCAGTCCTTCATTTTCATGTTTCGGTAGCTTTCCATGTCAGCCACTGCCTGGACCCAGATGACATACAGCATCACCACCAATGAAAATAGGATGCCTGAGAAGGATGAAACAGAAGACTGTTAGCCTTTCTGAAGATGTTTTCTCAAGAACGCTATCTAAACCAATCATTGACCGGATGACAAGCTCCTGCAAATACATTTCTAGCAAAATCAAATACTCTACGTCAGACCTTTTATTATGTACTTTATAGATATTTCTTTTATCTTTCATCTTCAAAGCATTGAGAGGAGGGCTATAGTAGCCTAAGAACAGCAATCACTGACAGGTATTTATTGAGTGTTTCCTGGGTGCCAAGGACTGTAGTAAGTGCTTGTGAACATTAGTGAATATCTCAGCACTTGTAGAATTTATATTCTAACTTTTTTTTTTCTTTTTTACTGCACAAATGGTTTGGGATGAGCACTATACTATGTTATTTCTTTCAATACATAGAATAAACATTGAAATAGGTACACTTACCACCTGGTTTTAGATATACACAGACACAGACAGTGGTTTTCAGAGCTGATTTTCAGCCCGGGTCTTTCTGACTCTTGTTATACTATTATAACCCAGCTAACTAATGCTGCAATTAAATATGGTTATACAAATAGAAACCAAAGTAAGCACTAGACAAGAACGGAGATGAAAACACTGAACAAACATAAAAGAATATACGTGATTCTTCAGAATCTAAATATATATATATATATATACACACTAAAGATTGATTACAGCATAGAGAAAACATTGTCTTGAATAAATGAGGGAGGAAGATTGATGATAAAAGATTTTGTGTAATATAAAATCATGGATTAGAGATCAACAGCCATATTAAATGAAAGAAAAAAAGAAAGAGAGAGAATGAAGGAAGGGAGGAAGGGAGGAAGGAAGGAAGGAGGGACAGAGGGAGGGAAATAACAAATGCCTAACCACTAACTAGAGGGCAACATCCCAATTTAGCAACAATTACAACGTAACTGTAATCCACTGGTTCCAAACACTCTTGGAATTAGATGAAGTATTACAGTTTTGGACCCATGACCTTAACAAGTGACAGAAAAGCTCTGTGAATCCTGAAACTGGAGAATACCACTAAGCATGTCCTTTCCCATGTAACTGTTACCGTAATTGCCAGAAGGAAACAATGCCACTACGCTGAGCAGCAGGCTCCAGGGTCCGCTGGGCAGAGTCACCAGTAAGCAACAGGCTCCATACACAAACCGCACACACAGCCTGATGGATTCAAATTTGTCCTAAAGCAAAATCTACTTGAGAGCACTTGTTATTTGTCCAAAATTTCAATCCAAACATGCCAAGGATCTATTACACTCATTGAATTAATGAGTTGAACTGTTAGGTATAAAATCTCCATAGTCTAATTGCTAGAATGTCTGAAAGCTAAATGCAAGTCTGAGACTAGGAGCAGAGACTGAGGCATATTGGCAGAGAGTAGCTTTTAAGAGCCCAGTCATCAATTACATTTCTCACGTTAATTGTGGTCCTACAGCATTTAGGATGCCCTCTCTCTCCTGGGCCATCAATTTCATAAAGAATCTTGAAAAGTAAACACAAAAGAAGAAGGGCTCATAAATATGTTGTGGTGTGTCAGTATCGGAGTTTAAACTTCCTTGTAATCATGACACAAGCTACAGAGCAATGAAGAATCAAATAGATGCTTCGCTAATAAGAAACATCCTTCACACCGTGGTCTGTAATATAAATGCAAATATTGGCTCACAGAGTAGAGCAATATAGCCACTGAGAAACAACTAATCACAGAGAAATAGTAAAGCCACAGCCTGCAAGCAAACTCCTTACAACGCCATACCTCAGATTTTGACAACAATATGGCAATTCCATGTGTTGTCTAGCAACTCTGTGCATTTCAATACATTTTCCAGCAAATATATAGACAGTGTTGCCTGTTGATGTAAAGGTTTGGCTTAGGCATTTGCATAATATCATTTGCCTTATGCAAACACCTTGCAAAACTTTGTATTATTTGCTGATATGGTTTTTATCTTCCTTGCATCATGTGACTCTCTTGTGCTTTCAGATATTTTAATGGAAAAAGGAAATTGCCTTTGTGAAAAACTAGTAGCCTTAAATTTATCTTTTCAAAAATTGAAAAACCCATCACTGAACTTTGAGTATTAGGAAAATGTATTGCAGGTAATCAGGTAGATGATTTTTAATAGGAAAGAATTAACTTATATTTAAATATTGTCATTATTTGAAGGGAAATTCCATTTAAAAGAAGGAAAAGTAGTCATTTCTATCACTATAGTCTTTAACTTGTTCACTAATTGAAGATACTGTCCATTTAATTTGTATCAGATCAGTTTATATCTCACCCATGGGGTAAACCAGTGTGTGTGTGTGTGTGTGTGTGTGTGTGTGTGTGTGTGTGTGTGTACATGTGTAGACAAAGAGAGAGAGAGAGAGACAGACAATGAGAAGGAATTTACACCAAAGGCCAATGGTTTAGTGGATATGGAAGCAAGAATTAATCATGGCAGCCTGCATGAGACATGTGGTCAAGAGAGGAAACAGAAGGACACTGTATTCAGGTAGACTGATCAAATAAGTGAATGGCCAATGGGAGCCATGTTTCTGACTGCCAGGAAATAGTTACAAATTTGAAAAGGAGGAAAGCTAAAATAAACCCTACAGTGATTAGAATTTGATTAGAATTGGATATATCAGTGTGACTTCATGGTTTTTCACTGATAGATAATACAGAAATAAATATAGAAGTAAATGTGTGTGTGCATGTTTTAAAATACACATGTGTATATATACCTAGATATATTTTGTGGCTCTCTTTCTTGAGAGCATCTGGCAACACCAACATCCAGTCGCATAGAGTATACCAAGTGTCCAGATCTTGATGCCTAAACACCATGAAACCGGGATTCTCAAAGAAATTGTTGAATCCAGGCTGGGGCATAAAATACAAGATGAACCTGGAAAATCTTGTTACCCCAGAAAGTAAAGATGTGTTCAAAGAATGACAGGGGTGTTTTGGAAGCCAGCTTGATGGGGCCTCCCATAGCTTAAACTAAGACAATCTGATCACAAAATGAATAATGATAGTGGTACATTATTTCCCATTGAATAAAATAGGAACTCACAGTGATATAAATAAATGAGTGAATAAATGAATAGGGAAAGGGAAGCTTTTCCTTACAACAGAACACTAACTTATAAGTGTAGAGGGATGGCAGAATTAGAAATCACCATTTGACAATCACTTAAAAATAATTCGGAGAAGAAATAAAAATGAATGCTAAATCCAGTGGATAAAATTGAATGAAACAGAGTATATTTACATAAGTTCAAAATCTCTTCCAATAAAATGCTTATTAATTTTGACGGAGAAAATAGTAACCTCATACTACAGAAACCCAGCAAATATTGCCTTATTCAAGTAATCAAAGTTAACATCACCAGTGACATGACAAATTGATATCACACATCACTTGATGGGATGCAGTGAGAATCACACAGCATCAATGCTATGATCTTAGAGCCAAAAATACAGAGCCTAAACTCAATCATTAAAGAAAAAAATCAAACTCAAATTCAAGACCTTTCTACAAAAATCACAGGCCTGTACTTTTTTCAAAAGTGTCAAGGTTATGAAGCACAAAAATGGACTTAACTCTGGTTTAATGGAGACTCAAGCAACAACTAAATACAAAGCATGATTTAGAATTTTTTTTTTTTTTTTTTTTTTTTGCTATAGAGGACATTAATGGAATAGTTAGAAAAACTTGAACGGAGTCTTTAGGTAAAAGGATTTACAACATCTGTATTTTGATTAGGTAAAAGGATTTACAACATCTATATTTTGATATCTCAGGACTTTTAAAAACATAAACAATAACTGGCTTGAATAACAATGAGTTACAAACCTACTTGCCACAGTGACTTTAGCAAGAATAGAAAATACTGCAATATATAGATAGTAAATTGTTTTAAAATAAAATTACATTTAAATTTGGTCATACATTTGGAAAGCACACATTTATTTCCAATTGAATTTTATAATACCTATTTTTTGAAGTCCAGAAAATATATAAAATATTTCACTGGAGGCAGAATCAAAACCCAGCCCCGAATCCATGAAGATTTGTGACCACAGTGAAACTGCAGAAAGATAATTGAGTCACACCAAGAACATGTTGGATCTCTTGTTATTGGCAGTATGTGAAACAATGATTGAAACGTATAATTTTGCATGGGTTCTCTTACAAAACTTTGCCCTTTAAATGCCGTGAATTCAATTTGGAAAGCATGTTTTCTCTTTCTGAAACAAAGGGCACGTAAAATTTAGTGACAAATGGCCATTGGGAATGCAATTGCTGATGATAACACTATGGAAACAATCACAGTATGGAAACAAAACAGATTCCCCCAAGACCAAGTCAAAAACTGAGACATAAAATTGTATATCCTCACTGTTTCACAAACACAAGAGTGAAAAATGGAGGCATATTCTAAAGATCTTTTCACTATACCGTAAGAACCAGATTTAAAAACAAATCCATAGAAGAGAAAAATTTAGCCCGAGAAATGAAAACTTTTTTCCTAAAAAAGTTAGGCAAAGTATCAAACTGCTTTATTATTGTCTAGAAGCACATATACTCTTACATGTATTTTTTTTTAAAAAGAGAGTGTTTTGGATTATTTAAAAATGACAGACTTGATCTTTCACTTCTTAGATGTAACTCGACTGCCTTTAAATGGGCTTTCACAACTTGAGTCATGAGCAGTTATAGGTTACTTGGGGAAGAATCATAAATTCGAGATGATTCAATGGCCTCCTTTAGTCATGCTTCCACACAAATGCAGAGGCAACTCATTTCAGTTTTCCATGGGCATAAGAAAAGCCATAGAACTGCACAGTCAAAACACTCATTATGAAGTTAAGGTGAAAAGTAAACTAGAATCAGAAAACAAAATCGTCCTTTTTCTACGTAAAGGCTGCACACACTCTAAAGGTAGTGCAATATTTAGCAGGGCATCTACATAGAATTAGAAAGTAAACATCATAAAATGTTAAGGATGATAGCATCGGCTTCCTCATTGTGGCTATTTTCAACAGAGGATGGAAATGAGGATTGCTGTCACTTATTTGTCCACCAAGGTCAAACGTTGAGCCTGTGGAATAACTCAGACTGAACCCTGAGAGCACGAGTCTCATAGGTTAAGCTGAAAACATTCCCAAACATTCTGCAACAGGGAAAATGTTTCCAGGAAGCAGTGGGGGACTAGGTTACTTTTCTAGGTGGAGCTGCCTAGAAGGCAGCAGGTCACATTTGTGCTAAGTATAGAATCAAAGAAAAAATCTGGGGCCTGGGTAAGTGTGCTAAGGATAGCAGCATTCATGAAACGGTGAATTTAGAGCAGACATGTCCAGAAGAAAGAACAAAAAAGAAATTTGATAAGCTATGTATTTACTGTAATTTTTGAAGAAGAAACGAAGCAATTCTTCAAGGGAGATACTGGGAATGCCTTCTGCAGATCTGCACAGGGACACTGAATACCCTGACTGACCATACCCCTACAAAAGGCTTTTGCAGAAAATACATAAAACATCTTCATATAAACATTTCTTAAATCAGCCCATACCTAAAGTTTGAAGATATGATATTAAACTGCCATAGTCTGAAGGTTTTCCTAATGGGCAAAAGTATTCCAGGTTTATTGTTCCTCTTTCTCATTCTTTTAATTTACATATACTTTACATAGAGTAAAATGTACAGATTTCAAGTGTAAGATTTGATGGGTTTTGACAAATGTAAACATCAGTGTAGCCACAACCAATTAAAAATAGAATGTATGCATCACTCAAAGAGGTTCTTTATGCCTCTTCACTCTCCTACCCAAAGCATCTATCACTATAGCTCAGTTTTGTCCTTAGAACGTCATTATAAATGGAATCATAGCAGTATACAGTCTTTTGTTTGGGAATGTTTTTACTCAACATAATGCCTGAGAATGCATTCATGTTCTCAAGATGTGTTCACACTTCATTCCTTTTTATTGCTGAGCATTATTCCATCGTATGAGTATATCAAAATTTGTTTATCTGTTTATCCACTGATAAACATTTGGGTTGTTCTAACTATTATGAATGAAACTACTGGGAATATACCGTTTTGTGATGTTCTAACTCATACATGAAATTTTGAAATAATGGATAACATTTTCTTAGACAAATGATTTTAGAAAAATATGGTAATGAAATTTTTGTATGGAGCACAATCTTAGGCAAAACTGATAAAATGGCACTGGAACTTATCGATGCTACGGCAGGCACCTGAAGTGCACCTGCTGAAGCTTCCTCCCTTTTCCCCACCCACAAGCAGCCCTGCTAAATCCAACTGAGAACATGGTTCTTAATAAAACACTGCCTTAACTGTCTTCCTCAAACATTAATTCCTCAGCAAAACTTTTAACAATTATTCCATAGCGCTCAATTATTGTAGGAGATTGGAAAGCTGAATGGCTCATTCAGCTTTCATCGTTCAGCCACCTAGAACACAACCCATCCTTATAGCATTATTTCTGGAACTCCTTTGGAAAAAGACTTGCCTCTGCAATATTTAAGGAGCATCTCTAGGCTTTAATTTAGGGGGTCAAAAATTACAACCAAGGAGAAAGAGCTAGACTCTTAAGAAGCTGGCTGTGTGAGAACAGGCAGCTGATTAACCTCTTAGGATGGAATCTCAATGCTCCCTCATGCTACGAATGCTGTCGGGGTCCATTAGGATGATTTGACTTTAGCCCTGCATTCATAAAAGACTCCCAATTAGCCTTTGCATGATATCTACAAATCATGTTGTATATAGGGTCATTCATTTATGTATGAATTGTAAAAGCATAGAGAGTTAATATATTAAATATAAACACTAAAAATGCTACAATATTTGCAAACTTGTTTTCATATGTATTAATTTTAACAACGAGGAACCTTAGAAATCGAAGTGTCTGAGGGCTTTCTCTACTTCAGTGAAGTCCTCTATGTCTTGCTAAAGGACGAAATATGAGGATTAGTGCAGCGTGACCAGCTATCACAGGTGCATTCCAGAGTCCAACATGTACTCTTAACTTTCTCCATATTATATCTGGGAAAAGGGAAATTTGCCACTTCCACATTTGCTAAAGAGTAATATTTGTCATAATATTGTAATGTACTTTCAAAGTAGTCTCATAAATATTATTGCATTCATCAAAATATTTAGACAATCTTTCTGAGAAAAGCTAGAAGTTACTTTAAATGATTTAAAATTGTGTTTTTGAAAAATTAGTTTGCTCTTCTTTACATTAGTATGCTATTGTTTTCCCATAAAATTATGCTTCAGATTACAGAACAACTAATGCATAATCGTCCACATTCTTTATCTCCATTCTTCATTTTCTCAGACTTGTTTTCCATTTTTTCTCCAATTTTCTGACACAGCCTTAATTCTTTCTGCTGTTACAATATCATGATTACACTTTTCTGATTTCCAAACACTCATTGCTGCACACACTTCATCATTCTGCTTTCCAAATACAATAATTCCCTCTTCCCTTTCATTTTCTAGACTCATAGTTTGATTTAGTCAACAACATATATAAAATGCTGATTGGGTTTCTCAAGCATTTATAACTTTCTTAGATTGTCATAACAATTTTTATCATTAAACATCCTACATACCCAGTGCTCTGTACTCTACTGAGTAACAATCATTAACAGAGAATGACCATGGGGGTTTACCTATTTCCACAAGTAATTAGGGGTTTAATCTGAAAATGAGAATTTCATCTAATGCCAAGGAAATATTTATTCACAAGAATTGAGTTTCAGGAAGTAGGATGTGATTGAGGGCACACCCCTGGATTCTGACTGCCCTGGTTCAAATCCTGCCTCAAAGTTTCACACTTTACACTTTATTGAGTAACCCTGAGCAACTTTCGTACTGCTCTGTCTCAGTTTCTTCATTGGTAAAATAGAGAGGATCCAAGTGCCTACCTCAGAAAGTAGTCATGAGGACCGAACAGAGGAAAAGTCCTGAAAACAGTGCCTGGAACATGACAAACAACTAATAAGCATGGGCTAATTTTGTTATTATTATTATTATTATTAAGCTTTGGCACGAGCTCCTGCTAATGGTTAGCAAATGTTACTCTCTGAAATCTTCTAAAGCATCAGAGATTCTCATGTGACTGGGCTATTTCAGGACAGGCCAAGAGGCAAAAGAATAAACTCGCTGTGGTGTCTTCCAGTCCTGAGATTTCAGAGGAGTAAGGGAATGATGACCTCCAATGCATCTCCCAGTGTCTTTCTGGAACTCTCCACGAGGTGGCACCAGTCACCCCACAGTCCCATGACAAAATGTTTTGCCAAGAACAGAAGGTGAATCCAGGCTCAAGCTCGTTCGTATTGAGGACAATTTCTTCTTTGAGTGTCCAGTCAAGCCAACCGCCTTCCCCTGCCCATCAGCCCTTTACTTCTAGGAAGTAAAAATTCTTTTCAGGACAGACCGTTAGCCTAGGTCAAGCACATTAGGCTTCTCTTTCCATACACGAAAATGTAAAGAAAACAAATGGCTCAGAAAAAAAAAATTATAAAACTTAGTGAAAAAACCAATACAATATTTTTTGGCCACTCACTACTAGTTAGTTCTGAGCAAAGTGACTATTTGGGGGATAGGATGGTTTTCAATGAAAGGAAATATTTGCAAAGAAATTAAATCCCTTAGTACTGAGTAAATAGTAGATAGTAATGAGACACATATTTTGAAAAAGGAGAATAAAGCTTATGGAAATTCAGTCTGCCTTTTCACTGTGACAAAACCTAATTCCAGACCAGAGACAGTATGGGTTTTTTTTGTTTTTTTAGAGACAGGATCTCGCTCTGCCAGGCTGGAGTACAGTGGTGCGGTCACAGCTCACTGCAGCTTCCAACTCCTGGACTCAAGCAATCCTCTTGCATCAGCCTCCCGAGTAGCTGGGACTGCAGGCACCACCACCACACTCGGTTCAGAGAAATAATCTTCTCACTTTGCACATCTGAAAACCGTCTTTCAGGATAAAGATTAATGATGCCTCATTATAGTATGTCATATGAGTAAAAACATTTGTTTGCCAGGCCTGTCATTTTACTTCTTAGAAGAACAGCACATTTTTTTTTTTTTGAGGGAACGATAGGAGTGTGGGGAAGCATTTATTCAAGTTTGAAGTTTAAGGTTGTTCAGAAAAGCTCCACCAAAGGTATTCCTGAGATGGTGATTTATCTGGGCAGGTGTTAGACCGTGAACCAGAATGTCTCCAACAAGGTTGGAGGTTGGGTGGACAACAAGGTCCGTCAGGTTGGGTGGACACTTACAGGAAAGCAATGGCTCTCTCCAAAGAAATGGCTCTGTGTCTCCTCTCTTCACATTCTCATTCCTCTCTTCACATTCTCACAGCCTTCACCCAACTAAGATGTTCCAGACTCAAGGAGCAGGCTTTGGGATTTGATTTCCTCATTTTCTCCCATATTAGTGCCCCATTTTAAAATGGATTCTAACAACCAGTTAGACACATTTCCACTGAAGAGCAATGCGGGGAAAATAAGCTTGCAAGGAAGAATCAGAGAAAGAAAAGTAATCACATTTAAAATATTTTTGTAAATAAAAGCCGTCACATCTCTTTTCTATATAATATTAAGCAAGGCTGACTAATGCTGGCATTTGACATTTGTGGAAAATGTCAGACCAAGGACGTTGGAAAATCCACATTAAAATTTGAAGGAAGGTGTTCCCATATTATAACAGGATCAGTGTCTGGATGACAGTGATTTTTTAGACAAATCCCAACTGTGACAATGGAAGGCACAAAGCGAGTCTACAAAGCAGGTACTTTTAGAAATATGAGTGTAACTAGTCTATGCTGTTTAGAAGGCAGATCTAGTGCACCTGGGTCTTTTGATCATCAAAACTGAAGACACTAATTCTAGTACAAGAGATGCATCTGACTGGCATATCAGTAACAAATAGTTTATATTAACTACTTTTTTTTTCCACCACCAACCTCCCACACACCAGAGCTCTTAATATGTTAAGTCTGAACTCAGGTAAAATATTCGGTTTCCTATTGGGAAGCTATGCTTTTGGTTTTCTCCTGCAAGCCTACTTGTCACATACCAGGGAAAGTCAGAGAAGCTTTTAAAAAACCACTGTAGTGGATCCAACCCAAATGCCCATCAACCAACAAGTGGATAAAGAAACTGTGGTACATATATACAATGGAATACTACTCAGCCATTAAAAAGAATGAATTAAAGGCATTCACAGCAACCTGGATGAGGTTGGAGACTATTATTCTAGGTGTAACTCAGGAATGGAAAACCAAACATTGTACGTTTTCACTAATATATGCAAGCTAAGCTATGAGGACGCAAAGGCATAAGAATGATACAATGGACTTTGGGGACTTGGGGGGAAGGGTAGAAGGGGGCAAGGGATAAAAGACTACAAATAGAGTGCAGTGGATACTGCTTGGGTGATGGGTGTGCCAAAATCTCACAAATCACTGCTAAAGAATTTACTCATGTAACCAAACACCACCAGTACCCCAATAACCTATGGAAAAATTGTTTTAAAAAATAAAATAATAAAAAAAGAAACTAAAATGTGAAGGAAAAAAAAGAAAAAAAGAAAAGCCACTGTAGCCACACCTTGGCCAGCCCCTCCCAGGGAGTTCCCTGCGCTTGTCCACAGTGTGCAGCTATTTATAGCCCAGATCTCTCACAGGATAGACATAGAGACAGCAGGGCTGCGTGTGCATGCAGATGTGGATGCCAGGGCTGCGTGTGCCTGCAGGTGTAGACGGCAGAGCTGCATGTGCCTGCAGGTGTGGACGGCAGGGCTGCGTGTGCCTGCAGGTGTGGACGGCAGGGCTGCGTGTGCCTGCAAGTGTAGACAGCCTGCCTCCAGGCTGTCGGCAGTTCTTCCTAAGCCGTCCTGCTCTTGACTTGCCCCACACACTCTCCTGCTCTGACAGCCGCCACATCCTCCTTTACCTGGAGGAAAACATGAGGAGCCTCTGCGAGCAACATGTTCAGCCTCAGCCAAAGGAAAATGAGCACCTGAACTATGTTGCTTGGTTTCTGCGAGCTGTTTTTTCTAGTATTAAGGAGAAAAAAATCCTGAATTACGTATTATGTATCCATCTTATCTCTCTTATCTCAGTTGCAAATAAATGTGGTTTACTGATGGGCTATTGCCATTTCTTTTGATCTTTTGAAAACAAAAAAGGAAACCAAACCACAAATCCCACTTCCTTTTAAGTCAGTCTAACCTGCTAGAGATGGGAACTTCCTATTCCCTTTATATCTACTAACCTTTCCTACACTAGATTAAGTGTTTCCATCCCTACACTTACAGAAAGCACTGCCTCCAGAGCAGGGAAGGACGGGTGAGCTGCAGACGGCTGTGCTTCAGGCATTTTGCCGCACATGGCAGAGGATTCACACAATTCATCCCAATCAGCCCTGCTCATATCCCTGGTGAGAGGCAATAACTTGTGAGCTGTCTGGGGCAAAGAGCTCACCCTGTGCTCGTGGAATGGGGCAGAGCAAGCAGGCACATGCAGGAAACAAGACTCAACTTGGCCTCTGTGGTGTTTCAAGGGACTAAGCTACACTGCAAAGATACCCTTTGCTTCCATGAGCACATCCTGGACCTGGAATAGGGGCTGCTTGAATCCTTCTACTCTCAAGACGTCTAGGTAGTCTCACCAGCCTGTGAGTCTAACAAGGGACTTAGTCCAAGGTTCAGAGCTCTGCAGTCTCCTCCACCCAGAAAGACTCTGTTTCTACTTTCTGCAGCAAAATTCCACATACATCCCAGTTTGCCATTTAAGAAAAGGCTACTTCAATTATGGCAGAAAAATGTTTCTAGCTTGATGTGCTGGTAAGATATCAAATTTTATGGCTGATCTCCCAATGCCAGTGTCCTGAGTGTCCAGGCCACATCCTTACTCATTTCACACACGTAGATGTCCTGCTGACATACAGAAATTGCTGTGTTGATGTTGCTTTGCACAGGGATTATGACTATTCAGCTCTACAGTAATTTTCTTCATATAAGCCAATGTTTAGAATGCCATGCCTACCCATCCTAACACTTCCTGCGTCTTTCCTATCACATCCAATGCCACGGGGCAGGAGGAGATGCGTGACAACCCCTGTGTATCTAAGAGTTCTCTGTGAGTCCACGTTAAAACAAACAGCAGCAGTTTAGGTCCTGCAGAGTTGTGTGATCACTTGCTGAAACACAGGCTGAGGGTCAATGTCCTGACAATGACTACACTTTGCCCAGAACTGACTCTCCTGGAAACAGGTGGCCTGGCCTGCCTGAGGAAGTCTCTGCCCAAGTGTAGGGAGAAGCAATATCCACCTTCCAAGCCTTCTGAGCCTTGCTCTGAGCCTGTTGACCCAGCAAAGGGAACACCATGGGCCCCACCGCTCCTACCCCACAGCCTGATATCAGCATCCCTCTGCCATGCACGGAATGTCTAAACACAGTGCTGCTGATGCCAAAGAGTCTTCCTATGTGCACATACCCAGCAATGGTCATAGAAAATTTAGCTCTGCCCTTCCCTAACACCATCTGCCCAAAAATACAGACAGCGTCCAATTCTGTTTGTGGCATCGATAAAGCAGCCACCGCAAGCCTGAGCCCAGGCTGCACCTGCTCCTAGTTGTGGGCAGAGCTCAATATGCTGGCCCAGGGTTGGCATGGAAGCCTCAAGAGCGAGTGACCAGTCACATTCCATCCCACGCAACAGGGTAGCTCTCCCTGCTCTTGGTAAACAAATGGTCATACACAAACAATGTAGAGTTGTGCTGAGGTGGAAATTAAAGAAAGAAAAATAAAATTAAGTAGAAAAAGAAATAAGCTTCCCTGTATTAGGCTGACTTATCCCAGAGGCAGCAACAGGCATAGCCCAGACCCAGGAAAAGCCTTGTAAACACTATCTAAGAAGCTAGGACACAAAGGAATGTACTCTGGAGAACTCCCTCAGCAAAGGGAGAAGAAAAACAAATTTTCCTTTCCCTTTTTAGTATGAGTTTATAGCTTCCTGTTCTCTGTAACTAGTAACTTCAAGTATTTTGTTTTATCTAAGCGGCACAATGAAGGTCATGAGAAGCCTGAGCAGGCCTGAACTACAGCCATCTGGGCACCATAGCAACGGTTATGAGATAAGCCCGTGCTAGACACTAGAGCAAACCCAGATAACAGCCATCTGGGCTGCACCGCAATGGTCATATGTAATCCTGAGTTACATACCTACCACAATTTGATTAACTGTCTTTGTTCTGCCTCTGTTTCTTTGCTTTCATGCCACTGAAAGCCTGCTTCAAGCTAGCCCACCCCCTTTTTGAAGTGTGTATAAAGTTCAAGAGCTGTCTTTGTTCTGGGCCCAGTCTCAGGATGTTAATCCACTGGGTCTGAGTGCACTCCATAAAATCCTCCTGCTTTACCCTGAGGTCTCTCTGGTCCTCCTGATTCCTGCAACAGTGCCACAAAGGAAATTATAATAAAAGTCAAATGTAAAGTAAGTGTCCTCTGAATCACCTAGTTTCATGGCTTTGAAAATGGGAACACCTTGGACACCTCAGAACTTCTCGGGGCTTTTGCATGAAGTCCTGAGCAAGGAAACACTTGGCCCTTTACCATAAGCAACACAAGGTTCATTTAAAAAAATCTGACATGTATAATTATTGTGTCAATTAAAAATCACAATAAAAACAAAAAGAAAAAATCCACCAGTTACAGGTGTATGGATATATGAGTACATTAAATGCTTTATCCTCCTACACAGTTCTCAGCCAAACATAACTCTTCACGTATATTGCTTTTTGCACAAATTGCAAAATGGAAAAAGACCAACAATTTTTTTTCAAAGCTACTAAACACACACACACACACACACACACACACACACACACACACACACAAACTGTCCAAAACCAGAACGAAAACCAGGATCAAAGCAGTTCTGAGTTTAAAACGATCATGCTGCCCATAATACATTATCACTAAACTATGGTGATTACATGTTCCCTCTATTGAAAAACTGTGGTTACAAAAAAAAAAGCAAGGAAAAAGAAGAAACAAATATTTGTACATGTAAACAGAGCACTGTTATTTCTGGGAAGACCATAGAAAAATGTGTACCCTTACTGGAACTTTGAAAAGGGAAAGGGTAAAGTGTCGTTTGGGTGAGAAAAATTTTTTTGGCCAAGAAGATGCTCAGTTTTAAGGGATATAAGGATATGGGATTTGGTCCTATGGAATTATGAATTCAAGCAGAGGGATGATAATTTATCAGATCTAAGTGAAAAAAGCCAGACACAAAAGTCCACATATAGTGTGATTTCATTCATAGGAAATATTCAGAATAGGCAAACCCATACAGATAGAAAGTAGATTAGAGGTTTCTTAGAGCTGGTCAGGAGAGAAGGAGAGTAGAAAACAAGGTTTCTCTGTGGAGTAATAAAAATATTCTGAAGTCAGATAGTGGTGATTCTTGCACAACTCTGTGAATGTACTAAAACCCTACGCTGAATTATACACATCAAAATGGTAGGTTGTATGTTGATTACATCTCAGTAAAAAAGGCTTTTACAATGAAGAGCTCTAATGGCTAAATCCAGTGAAAGAAAACAGTTCAAATAAAAGACAAAAGAAAGAATGGTTTAACAGGGTTCTTCTCAGAGTGAGATTTTTTTTTTTAGCTCTTTAAACTGTTGGGGCTCAGGAAACAAAACTCCAAAATGAAGCCCCAGCAGCAGCCTCAGGAGCAAAAGTTTTTCTCTGACCTTCTCCTGCCCTCCTGCCTCCCAGTCCTGTTCTCTCCCGAGGCTGGCCTTAGAAACCACAAAGGTCCCCTCTCCACAAAGGTGAATCATAGAAACCAGAACTCCTTTCCCCAAAGCCAGCCACGAAACCTGAACATATTACTCTAACTCTCCCTCCACCTTTCTGTGTAAAAATTGGCCACAAAGGACAAAGGAATTGACCGGACCTACCTTGTTTGCCAATTCCAGAGAGGGTCCCGCCCCACACCCAGAAGGAAGGCGTGCTGCTCAGTGAAGCCATGAAGAAGCTAAACGGACAGGCCTCGCTGGGTTCCCCACTTAGTCTATGACCATTAGATCCTGCCCTTTTTGTCCAATCATATTTCTACACAGCTGCCCATCCTTTGTTGAACCTAAGCATAAAAATGGACAATTTGCCCATATCTTTTTGGGTCTTCAATCTGAAAGCTCCCAGGTATACACATGAAATTATATGTATGCCTTTTCTTCAATTAATCTGCCTTTTCCAAGTGGATTTTTCAGGGAACCTTCTGTTCCTCTTGGCCCCTACAAAATACAGGATCTAGATCTGATTATTATTTTTATTCCCTCTGCAGAATTAAGCACAATCTTATGCAGAAAGTATTGTGTTACCTGAGCACTGATGAAATGACACTGGGCAGCATCACAAGCCATCTTTCCAATGATTAGAAGGACAGTAACCTTCTCCATTCTGTTCCTTTCCTTCAACTGTCACTACAGTGTCACCTAGGAGCACTCTGTCACTCTGGTTTGATGTTACAATACAGCATAGTATGTACAGTTTGGTCTCAGTCATACTGAAGTTTGGCTAGTTTTCTAGAATTATCTTTACAAATAATAGCCTGTGCTTATGTTTCCAAGTTAATAGTCTGGCTTTCACTGCCTAATTAAATGAAAAGGGCTTAAAATTCACAAGACTCACCTCTTCAATTACTTTTCTATTTGTAGTGTGATCATTTTAGCAGAAATTAAATTAGTTAGAAACCTAACTAAAATAAATGCAAGCTTCACACAGAAAATAATATATTCAGATAATTCATATGGATCACAATTAATTAATTATTTTTTTTTTTTAGACAAAGTCTCGCTCTGTCATCCAGGCTGAAGTGCAGTGGCACAATCTCGCTCAATGCAACCTCCGCCTCCCGAGTTCAAGTGATTCTCCTGCCTCAGCCTCCTGAGTAGCTGGGATTACAGGCACATGCCACCACGCCTGGCTAATTTTTTTGTATTTTTAGTAGAAACAGGGTTTCACCATGTTGGCCAGGCTGTTCTCAAACTCCTGACTTCAAGTGATGCACCCACCTTAGCCTCCCAAAGTGCTGGGACTACAGGTGTGAGCCACCACACCTGGCATCAACAAACAATTAAGAAAATGAATGGGAGTGATGTAGAAAAATATTTTTGTACCTATGATAAATCATGAGTGTATGCTTATCATAAATATCATCACAGGGCTATCTTTGAAGAGCTCAGAAAATGCCTACCCATATCATATGCTGATATGTTACAGAGACTTATGTTACGATCCCCATTTACAGACAGAAAATTAATAGGGTAAGAGGTTAACAGTCTCTTACACACCTTGGAGTGAGTCAGTGACAGAGTTTTCTCCTCTAAGCCTCAGTGTTCTCCTCTTTATAATAATGGCCTTACAGTGAGCAGAGACTATCATGATGGTTAAATGTGTCAGCATGTGGAAAAGGGAAAGTCCCTGAAAAGTGTCCGACACACAGTTAGTGTTCAAGAAGTATTGTATACAAATATTATTAGTTAGTGTTCAAGAAGTATTGTATACAAATATTATTGTGTTACTGTTACTAGAAGGCTGACGCCTGAATATAGAAATGAAAAATAGAAAGACATGAAGAAAAACCGTGGCTGAAAGTCATACCCATTGCACCGTACGTACCTGCAGCAATATATGAGCCTCCCCCAGCTTTGTAGAGAAAATGGCTGGCGAAGGGGGCTGCACAGATGATCAAAAAGCTTGCGATGACTACAGCAACTACCCCCAGGAGCATCAGGACTGCCCAGAAACCACGGTAAACTGGAGACCCCAGGAGGAAAAGAGAAAAGAAAGAAAAATACACTTAGATTGTGTACACAGCAGATTGTCACAGTCAGTTGCTTTCATCTTCATTTTTCTAATTTCAGCTATGGCACTGCTAGATAGAATGCCAGGGATGGGTCTGAACAAACAGGAGATCTTATCAGATGACCTTGGAATCAGTGATGTCCAAGCTGGTGACCTTCAATCAACTCCTCTTGCTCAATGTTTGTACCACACACATGCTTAATATACTGTGGGAGCTCTTTTTTCCATCACGATTTTCCATTTTAGAAGCAAGAAGACCTAAGGTTCTTGCTTCTAAAGAGTTCTCCCATTTAAGTACCCAGTTGGGTAGCCTAGAAGTGTTTCATACCGAATGTCCAAACACATGTAAATGCATTCACATTATTTACAAACACTACCTCACATCTTCTTCTAAGATATATTTGTACCATGATTATCTCTGAGAGCTGATAATAGTCACCCCAAGCCCCTAACCACAACAAAAATATCCACTTCTATTTAGATTGTTGGCTCTATAGAAAACAGTCTAAGGCAATAAAAAATGACAAGCAAAACCATAAAAGAAGTTCGTTTAGCTATGCTTTCCAAGCAAATCTGATAATTTAAATCAGATGTATTTAAGGCTTACCTCTTTCTATTAATATTTTCACTTAGATTCAAAATGAGAAGTATAGGAGTCTATAGGAGTCAAGGACAAGCAAGGCTAAATTAATGGAAACAGCTGGTAAGAAATAGTAGGTTTGGTGATATATGGTAATCAAACAAAAAGGAATTCTAACGATCATTTTTGAGTTGGATAATTACCAATCTTAACCAATTTCATCATTTCCAAAAGGATAAAAAGCTAAAATAAATTCTTGATAGTATAGATGGGGGAACGCTCAGTGAAACATATTAGTCAAGTTATATTTTAAGAAAATATACAACTTGATAAGAAGGAAAAGAATATTTTTTTTTCTCAAGAAGCCTTCCTGGCAAAGAAGAAATCTATCAATCAACTGGAGTTTTACAGGAAAGAGGATGGGAGGATGGAAATTTGAGAAGAGGAGTCACTTCAGTTAAATGGAAAAGGAAGGCTCGGATTTTTATGTGAATAACCAAGTCCTGAAAACAGGAATACATGATAGGCTTTCACTTCCCATACCAGTGCTGGCCACTTGGCATGGTTTCCAGGGCTGCTGTGTTAGACAATATTCTGCAGTTGTATTCAGGCTCAGCAGGGAACAGGGCAGTGAAGAGATACTAATGTCAGCTTTGAGTATGGAAATTACGAGTTGCAGAGTGTGGCCAAATATTTGCTGTCCTTGTCCTACCATAGTTTATTAGGCAATTGGTGAGTCTCACATTTTACATTTTCATTTATTTCATTTAGAAATAGGTTGAGGTTATCTTTCACAGGACAGCTTCTGTGCCAAGTGCTAGGGGTATAATCATTAACAACAAGAAGCAGCTCAGAGAATAAGAAATCCATTCTACGACTGTACTGATCACAACTAAAACTAGGTAAGTATGACAAGCAACCATATAAGGACTGAAAGTAAATAATAGCAAGTGGAGTGAGAAGGAAAGTCAAGTCTTAACAGAGATCAAGTTGCAAAGTTATCTGATTTTCTTCTTTTTTCCTCATGGATTTGGCCTGAAGGCAAGCGAATGGGGAACTGTGTAAAAGGTGCGAATAGCAAAAATCTTTAGTTGAATTCATTTCCTAGAAATCTAGGAAAATAGCCCCCTAAAGCCAGAGTAAATCCCCATGTTTATTTTTTCCTCTTTTTATTCCCTTAGTCCTGCCTCCAGATCAGCTTTAAATACAGGTCTGCACTGCTGCCCCAGTGGAGGCGTGGGCACTTAAAATCCCAAATGATGACCCAACCCTCTAGATAGAGGAATCACAAAAAGGAACCCTCATTGTGCAAAGAGGAGGGAGGAATCATGGTTATGTTTTTTCTCCTTTCTCTTGCTGCTTGCTATGTGTCATGGCTGCATGGAACTGTGCCACAGCGCAGGAGGCCAGAACTCAGAATTCAACCTTTCTGGCCAGAGAAACTGGGAAAAAGAGTCCGAGGAGCCAGAGGGTGTAAAGAAAATCCCACAGAGAAAAGAGCTAAAGAAAAGACTCTAAAATTCCACGTTTGAACCTACACAAATACCAAGCACACCCCCAAGTTGCACATGCACAGGAAACAGACCAAGAAGCATAGCAAAGTCTTTAAGAACCAAATTACAGTTTGAAGACCGTCCAGGTTCCAGAGCAAGCCCTGAGTGGTGTGCGCCCCAGGGTGCACAGCACAAACAGCATCACATAGACTTTGAAAAATGAATTAAAATTGAAACTGCCACCACAGAAGAAAGGGACAGATTGGGTTGGTTGATTGCCTGCCGAAAAAATAATAATAATCAAATTTTTTAAAAATCAACATTATCCAGAGAATTTTAACAGTGAATTCTCCACTGAATTTAACACTTTGAATTTTGACAACATAAAATTCAAGGTGTCCAGGATACAACCTGAAATTACTTGATATACCAACAATAATGAAAATCTGATCAATTATCAAAGAGACAGCCAAACCAAAGATGATTTAGATATATGAATTATCAGACAGACTTGAAAGTAGTTATTAGAACCATTTTCTATAGACTGGGGTGAATACTCTTGAAATAAATATAAAGAAATTATAAGGTCTATAAATTACAAAAATAAATTTTAGAATTAGAAAACACAATATCTGAAATTAAACCCATGCAATGGACTCAATAATAAAACAGGGATGAGAGAGGACAGAGTAAGTGAACTTGAAAATAAAGCAATAAAAATTATTCAATATGAGAAACAGAAAGAAAAAAGATTGAAAACAAAATAAATGAAGTTTCAAAGGCTTGTGGAACAATATCAGAAGTTCTCACATTTGTGTCATTGGAGTCCTAAAGCAGAGGCCGTAGATATTGGTGAAGAAAAAATATTCATAAAAGTAATGCCTGAAAACTTTCCAAATGTGATGAAACACAAATTTACAGATACAGGATACTCAGCAAACTCCAAAGCGAATAAACTCCTATAAATTAGTCAAGACACATAATAATAAAATTACCAAAAACTCTAAACAAAAAAAAAGTCTTGAAAGCAGCCAGAGGAAAAAATCATTACATAAAACATATGGGGAAATAATCCCAAGGCTCTAACTTTCTCATCAAGAATGATGGAAGCCAAAAGACAGTGGGAAAACATTTTTAAGCTGCTGAAAGAAAAGACCTTCAACTAAAATTCTGCACGTGGTGAAAATATAGAAAGAAGGGTAGGGTGAAGCCATTTGTGAAGAAGGAAAGAGTAGAATGTGTTATCAACAGACCTGTTCTACAGGAAATGCTAAAGGAAGTTCTTTGGGCTAAAGAGAAATGACACCGGAGTGCACGTTAAACTTCAGAAACAGAGGAAGAGCAGCAGAAATGATTAATATCCATGTAAATAAAGTAGAATCTATTTCTTGTCTTAGTTTCTTTAAATGATATTTGTTAAAATTTAAAAAATCAGCATAATACAGTAGAAAAACATAGGTGTTGGAGTCCGAGTGACCTGAGTATTTACCACTTTCTTGCAAGGTAACTTTGGACCAGTTACTGAAACTCCTAGAAGTCTCTTTTTCTGTAAAATAGAGATGTTTGTGTCCATCCTTTAGAACTATTAGAAGAATGACTTACAATGTATGTGAAGTGTGTGGCATATAATAAGAAACCAATAAAAGGCATTTCTTTTTTTCTTTTTCTCTTTGAGACAGAGTCTTGCTCTGTCATACAGGCTGGAGTGCAGTCATGTAATCACAGCTCACTGCAGCCTCAAGCTCCTGGGTTCAAACAATCCTCCTGCCACCTTCACCCAAAGTGCAGGGATTATAGGCATGAGCCACCATGTGTGGTGGCTTTTATTGCTATTATTATCAAGATTGCATTATCACTGCACAGCAGGGGGTCTTGTGTTCAGCAATAGGAACATGTATTCTTTCCCTTAGCTTGTATGGTCAGCCCTCTCTATCTGGGTTTTGCATCTGTGGATTCAACCAACCATGGATCAAAAATATTTAGGAAAAACACAACAAAAAATGTCAATACAACAATAAAAATCATACAAATTGTAAAACAATACAGTATAGCAACAATTTACCTAGTACTTGCATTGTAGTAAATATTAGAAGTAATTTAGAGATGATTTAAAGTATACAGGAGGATGTGCATAAGTTATATGCAAATACTATGCCATTTTATATCAGGGACTTGAGTGTTCACAGATTTTCATATCCTCAGGGGGATGGGTCCGGGAAACAATTATATGTGGATGCTGAGGGACAACTGGATGGCTGTACACTGTTTCTGATGTGCCACTGAGGTTGGAACATCTCTTTAAATGATAGCTTAGAGTGCAGTAGTCATGTTTGGGCAAAGTAGACTACTGATACAGAAAGTTCTACGAAGTTCTCATACCATCTCTCATGGGAACGTTTTCTGTCCATTTACCTCCTAAAAAGGTAGTGGCCATGTTCCATATCACATGACTCTACTCCTACAAACCTAAAACATCAGTAAATGGGAGCAGATACCTGACACAGAGCCAATGCACGGTGACCTCTGACCCATGCCTTCTGAAGAACAGTTTGAAAGATGAATTGGAATCATCCTTGTGATCCCCTAGGAACTGGAAAACTGAGAAAGTGAGGTGATGAGCAGCAGAGCAGAAGCTCACATGAGGCACTGACAGCCCGAATCAGATGAGCCAGGGAAGCCCAGGCTCAGGGATCCTGAACCAGGTCACACAGACGGCAGAGGAAGCAGCAGGAGCGTCAAGGCAGCGGGCAGTGGAGGGGATGCAAGAAAGGGAGGAGACACACGATGAAGCAGAGGAAGAAACAGACAGCAAGACAGAAGTGTGGAAAAAATGCGCCCCAGAATGCTGTCATTCCTGACCACTGCGAGTCCCTGCCCTTTCATTTGATCTAGCAAAGGAGCCCAGCTTTTGATTCTGAATCCCCTGTACAACCACAGATTGGTATTTAAAGGAAGGGAGGGCCTTGGCTGCCTGGAGAGCTTTGATCACATAGAAATAGCCTCCCAGTCAGATGCCTGAGTGCCGTCACCATGTGCTTTGTTTCCTGCCTATGCTTCTAACATTCAAAAGTGCATAACATCAAGCATATTACAAAATTTGTTGGAACTTCCTATTTTCTAGCTAATTATATTACATAGTTTTCACATGCACCATACTTTGATTGCAGAATTAAAATATGCAGTCATAATAAAGAATTGTCTTGTAGAATTGCATAGAGTTCATGCACTCTCTAAAGTAAAACTGAGCCAATCAGAAAATCTTCAACACATGGTGAATTAAGCACATTCATTTGGGAACTGAAACATGATATGGGAGCTTCTCTGCTTATTAATTGTGTGACTATGATAGACTTTAGTTTTCTAATGCAGAAAGCAGTATTCTTTTCATAGGTTTATAGTGAGGATTAATTGATATAATATATGAAAAGCGGCTGCATGTAGTAAGCACTCAAGTATATTTGCTATGATTCTTATTAATTATGACACCTTGTAATAAAATGGTCTTGTCAACAATGTGGCTGATACTAACAAATATCATCCAATCTGATGGATCTAGGTTGGAGATAGGCTTTAAATTATTTATATATATATATATATGAACATACACATATGCACACACACACATATATTAACACTGAAAACTGAAAGACTGTCCTTAGAGGCTATAAATGTGTGTGTGTGTGTGTGTGTGTGTGTGTGTATACACACATATAAAATTATATATATATTTTTAGGTATATATCAAATTTTATATTCCTATGCAATTTTTGGAGGATATTTTTGTTTGGTTAGTGATTTATATTGTTTCAATCTCTTAGATCTTGACTGTATCTCAGAGAAAACTGAGTTGGTTTTCTTGTTCTTTATATGAGCTTGTAAAACTACACAGCCTTGTCTTTGAAGATTTTGGACTGTGCCTAGTAGAAGCATCTCTAAAAATCCATTTGTCTCATTAGATACAATTCAATGTTTAACTTAAATAATATTGAACTTCTATTAGTGCCTATTAGAACATGAAGCAAGATTTACAATGGAAATACATTTACATGTAATCTATACAATCACAATGTGGATAATTAAAGGAAAGCACATGTGAATCTGTGAAAGGATTAAAGAATTAAAGAATGGTTTTAAAGAGAGTAAGTTCTGTTGATTTTTCAGTCAGTTGGTAAATTGGCCTATGAAGAGCTCCTTGGGCAGGTGCTGAAATGAGGATGGCGGCCAATCAGTCCAACAACAGATGTTGTATAAATAGTTCTGGAGAATTCAGTTTATTTTCCCAAACAGATTAAACTTTTACAGAATTACATTTTCTAGCAACTTATTTCAAAACCTTATTCTAGTAGATCTAGACTGAAAATCATCAGCTAAAAGTGTACTGAAATATGATATCAACATATTCTGTGTAACTATATCATTTCATATTTTTCTAACATTTCCCTTTATACATAATATTTTCTAGTAATTATTTGAGAAGTATTCTGTTGTTTATTTATAAATAAAACAGGCTGGGCACGGTGGCTCATGCCTGTAATCCCAGCACTTTGGGAGGCCGAGGCAGGCAGATCATTTGTGGTCAGGAGTTCAAGACCAGCCTGGCCAACATGGTGAAATTACGTTTCTATAAAAAATACAAAAATTAGCCAGGCATGGTGGCATACGCCTCTAATCCCAGCTACTCGGGAGGCTGAGGCAGGAGAATAGCTTGAACCCGGGAGGTGGAGGTTGCAGTGAGCCGAGATGGTGCCACTACACTCCAGCCTGGGCAACAGAGCAAAACTCCATCTCAAAAAAAAATTCAATAAATAAGTTAACTAATAAAATAAAACAGTCATTGAATCATTAAACATTGTCTAGTTTGTTAAATAGAGGATTTAGGGAATGTAAATCCATGTTCCTGATGTCTCAATTTTATCCATAAAAATATATAATAGAAAGAGTATTAACTATATCACAAATTCAAATTTCAGATTCAAGCATAGGTCAAAGGAGCTCATGTCTTGGGTATATCTGAATGGTCAAATTCAAAGTGATGTGAGTAGGCAGTACAGGGAAATGTCTGTTAAAAATCCTTCAGGAAGGAAAAATAAAAATAACCAAAAACTACAGGACAATGAAGGCCGTGAAGTAAAGTTGACTATTAATTATGCACACTAACATGTGTGTGTGTCTGTATGAGTGTGCTTCTGCATATCTATGTGCCTTTTTGTGCATGTGTGAAGATTATCACAGGCAAGAAGCTAGTGGCAGAATGGGAATCTGTTCTGAATTCAATGGAAAAAGTTAGGAAAGTAAAGCCCCATAGTATTTCTTTTTCCAGAGAAATAGAGTAAAAAATGCACTAAAACCTCATTAATTTAGATGATAGGCAAAAGCAGCCTGACGTTTTAACTGTAGCTGATTTTAGAATAAGTTCCATTCCAAGCCATTCAAATCCATCCAACAACTCAAACTGGTGTCTCATCAGGGGCCTCTAAGAGGGGCCTTGCCAGGCTTGCTTAACAAATGGGCACAGTGCTGACAACCAGAAGCCACTTAATTTAGCAAACATATGCTGAGGGCTTTCTACGTGCAAGGCACCAAAAACTGCCAGAGTAAGACATAATCCTTGCCCTCGCAAGTTCTTTTCCCCAGAAGAAAAAGCATATTTGCTTTTTTTAACGCTGGGTGCTAAACATACCTAGTAGAGGTATGCTTGAATATTATGGTGTCGAATGGCAGGAAAGACCATGATTTCAGGGCTGAGTAGCAGTGAGAAAGGGCATATGGTGCTGGGTCTCAGCGTTTGTCTACAATTCATGGGGCAGAAGGCAGGAGCAAGGCCATGCCAATCAGAGAGGGAAAGAGTTCCATGGAATGTGGGGTAAGAAGCTGCTCCCTGCGGCTGCCACCGGGTGGATGAGGGGAAGAGAAAATGGGGAACCTGGAAAAGTGGTTGAGGCTTTGTTTTCCCTTCCAAGGAGCTGGTCCTCTATCACATGGGTGTCAGGGGGTACTCAAGACCATTAATCAGAGACACCAATCCAACTGGTATCAGAGTATCCCTGTTGTAAGTATACAGAGAATGAACTGCTAGGAAAAAGAATAGAACAAGGAAAAGCTAATTAAGGTAGCTATTGTAGCAAGCCCAAGTGGGAGCTCTTAAAAGACTGACCCAGAGCTAAGCAGCTGGGATGGAGATGACATAAGCTTTGGTGTTACTGTTGTTACAGGTGGTGAGAAACCAGGAAGAATCAAGAGCGTCTCTACGGGTTTTCATTTGCAAGCAAAACCAGTTTGTTCTGTTAAGATATTTAAACATTTCCTCTTGATTTTGCATAATATAATTTGCAGAACAAACCTTCTTTCATAGAGGGTATAGAGAGAAAAGTCAACCCAAATGATCACAATTCCAAATTTGTAGTGTTTTGATAAGTGATTTTGTTGTACATACAAAAATGTAAATATTTTATTTGCAGCTTAAAGATAAACTTAAGTGTTATTCATTTTTCAAAACTTGCTATATTGCCTCAGACACCCACAAAGCTAGTTCATAAAGCTAATCCTGTGTTTCGACACATCCTCAAGCACACGCAGTGTGAAGTGCTATAAAATGTTCCAAATGAAGCCAAAACAAAACACGCCACTACCCCCCACCTCCCTCGCAGCAAATGAGGGCCGCCAGCATATGTTGCCTCGCTTTAGGCAATGTGCTTCTGTTGTGCAGGCCAGCAAGCCTGGCCTTCATCTCCATACACTGCTTGTCTTGGCAGTGTCGGGCAGGTCTAAAAATACAGTAGTGCCTGCACCAAAGCAGAAGGACAGGCTGTACAGTATCTCTGCATCTGAACCCCACAATCGTGAACATGCCAAGCAAAGTCCAGTGCTCAGCGTGGCCCATTGATTTGTTTTCTGGACGCTAAGAACTCTGAGATCAGATGAAGTTTATTAACCTCCCACCCTTAAACTTGCCCGATTCAGGAGATGCTTCAGGGAGGAAGCACACTGGGCAGAAGGGGGAGGGATTCCACCTTCCACTCTGGCAGTGACCTTGAGTCCTTGAAGCAGGAGAAGCATGAGTTTCTTCACACAGGGTTGAGAACATGCCCATGTTCATTATCTCACTTGCTCCTTCTAAGGAGCCTGGGGGTTAGGAGGGAGGCTTCCTGGGTACCAGGAAGGGTGGCTTTGCAGTATTAGTGGTCCTATGGGTGGTGGCTGCAGTAACAGGAGTAATAATAGTCCAATGCAACTTTGAAACAGCTGTCACCAGAATCCTCAAGGTCACAGAGCTGAGGGGACTGAGGTCCTGTGTACAAAGCCACTCAGTGTCCACCCCAGGGGACCAGGTGAGCACACAGGGCCAAATCTCCAGCTCCAAGGTCCTCCCCTGCCCGCGTCTCCCTCAGTAGGGAAGGGAGGCAAGTCAGTTGTCCCCATTGCTGCCACACATCAGAACCACTTGGAGAGCCAAAACATAACACCCATGCTAGGATTCCAAACCAGACCAGCTGAATGAGGACCCCTAAGGGTGGGCACAGGCATCAGTGTTTTCAAAAGCCCAGTAAAGCTGGGTGCAGTGGCACACTGTGTAATCCCTGTTACACAGGAGGATCACTTGAGCCCAGGAGTTCAAATCCAGCCTGGGCAACATAGCAAGACATTCTCCACCGCCACCCTTGTCTCTCAAAAATAAACAAATATTTTTAATAATAAATTTTAAAAAATAAAGCCCACTGGGACACTGTGATATGCAGCCAGATTAAGAAAGGTAAGACTCCTGGTCCCTCTGAGTGGCTAGTTTTAAAAAGCAGGTTCTGCAAGTCAGGCAATGGCTTAGCCCTCACATGTGTTCTTTCCTCTGTCTTCCCAGCAATCTCTATGTTGTATTTTACAGATGAGGCTCAGAGAGGTTAAGTCATATTCCAGAAATTAAAGAGCCAGTAAAGGATAGGTTCAAGATTTTAATTCAGGGCTATCTGGAGAATCCACTATCACTAGTCATGTTTGTTGTGTTTCTAAAAGTTGCTTGGCACTGATCCCTCTGCATCTTCTAGGATCAAATCTTCCCATTCTGGCTCCTCCTGCTATGTCCGCCAGAAATTTTGAAAAAATGCTGAAGTCCTCTGAAGGAAAAGTTATTACCATCCTTCAAGGCCCTTCTTTGCAATCCTGTTTCCTCTAACTAGAATAAATAGACTTCCTACTTACCATGGACTGAATGTGCTCACTCACTCAAATTCATATGTTGAACCCCTAACCCCCAAAGTGTGAGAGAATCTGAAGATGGAGACTTGAGGAAGTAAATAAATTTAGATGAGGTTATGAGAGTAGGGTCCTCATGATGGGATTAGTGACTTTATGAGAAGAGGAGGAGAGAGTTCATTCTCTTTCTGCCAGCAAGAGTACAAAATACAAAGCCATCTGCAACCCTGAAGAGAGCCCTGCTCAAACCCAGCCATGCTGGCACCCTGATCTTGGACTTCACACCTTCAGAGTGATGAGAAATAAATGTCTTGTTTAAGCCGCCAGGCTGTGGTATTTTGTTACAGCAGTCCAAGTTGATGAAAGCACGTCTTCTCCTTCATCTGAGAAAGCATCCTTCCTTCCTTAAAGGGACATCACGGAGAGAGTTACTTCCTTACCTCCACTAAAGGCAGGAACGTGTAGAATCATTCAGAATAGAGGTATATTCAAGAGTTGGAATACCCTTTACCGGGTGTGCGACCTTGGCCAAATTACTTGGCTTCTCCATGCCTCAGTTTCCTTCCCTAAAATGTGATGATTAATACTTATTTTATAATTAGGATGATTGGGATGAAGGTCAGCGCTAACTGAATGCCAGTCACTAGACTGAGCACTGTACTTCCATTCCCTGTGCAATCCCCCTCCACTTCCTGATTGTGAGTGTCCGGGACTCAGTCTTGCTCATCTCTCTAAACCCAGTGGAAGCTTTATGGTTGGCATGTAATAGGTGCTCAATAAAATATGAGTAAGTAGAGAATCAACAATTTACCACTCAATACCCCCTGTAATCCCAAGGTTAATGAGATATTCAATGGCCAGGGAACAGAGTGAAGCAAACTCATTCAAAATGGAAATGAATCCAGGATCTTGACCTCACTGTCACAATCACTGGAGAATCTTTATCATGTAAATCCCTATGAAAGAGAAGCAGGCCTTGGAAAAAGAAGAGCTAAGGTATCAAGGTTTCGAATGTTAACACCTGAGTACTAAGTAAGTGAGCTCAGGCTGGACGCGGTGGCTCACACCTGTAATACCAACACTTTGGGAGGCCAAGGCAGGTGGATCACGAGGTCAGGAGTTCAAGACCAGCCTGACCAAGATGGTGAAACCTCGTCTCTTCTAAAAACACAAAAATTAGCCAGGTGCGGTGGCAGGCGCCTGTAATCCCAGGTACTCAGGAGGCTGAGGCAGGAGAATCACTTGAACCCAGGTGGCAGAGGTTACAGTGAGCTGAGATCACACCACTGCATTCCCGCCTGGGCGACAGAGTAAGACTCTGTCACAAAAAAAAAAAAAAAAAAAAAACAGATTGCTGAGTGCTATGTAATCTTCCTCTCCATGTGCCGGAATTCCAGTGCTTCAAATGAATCAAGAACACCAGGGACTTCTGTAAATCCTCCTGCCCAATTCTAAAACTGCCAGAAAAGACAAATTTCCTCATTCACTGATTTCCTTAAAAAAAAAAAAAAAAAAATCAATCTACACCTGAAAAGACCTGTGATCTTTTAGACTAAGCCATGATAGGAACATTTTAAGACTACTTTATTCTTATACTTTTTTAAACACTAAATTGGAATCTGCTTGCTTTGGCTTTTGTACAGACAGTAGAAAATAATTATAGCAAAGGCTTATTTACTTAGTTGTAAGTATTCTAGGACCCCTGAGTCTTCATTTTCATAATTTTTAGGTGATTTGCCTCATAAACATCTAACATCCAAGAAATCACATTTCCCCAGGGAAACTTATAGTCTTTTATGATATTGTTATTACACATCTTGGAATCTTTCTCTTAGGTATGTGAATTAAAAGTAGTTTCTACGATTTCTGTATCAGAAAAGTGAGTTCAGAAATTTCATAGTACTAAAATGATTTGATATTTTCCCCTCTATTTGTATTATAAGACACCCAGAAAAAGGAGTGGTTAACAACTAAATTGAGTTCCACACTCTCATTTACATGTTTGAGCACCGATTGAAAATCTACCTTGTATCAGCTACTGTGCTAGGCTAGGAGAGCACTTATTGGTGATACACTATGAAAAAGTACAATATGTGCCACCAAGCAGTCTAAAAGGAAAGAAATATACAATTAGATGGCTATCGTCTATGCCAAGTGCAAGGAAAGACTATGGATGGTTTATTATGCCAGAATAGAGAAAGGGTGCAATCTTAGCATATTGCATAAAAGCTCTTTGGGGGAGGTGATTCTTAAAGGGGAGAGTGGGACTGGCCTGAAAATGGAAACAGCAGAGCAGGCAGTAAGAAGAAAGGGGACTGAGGAGGAGTGGGGAGTGGTGCTTGGAGGAGCTCAGCTTGCAGGTGCAGAACAGTGAAAAGCTTTGGCTTCAGGGAAGTAGCTGGAGGGAGAATGTAAGGAACACGTCATACTGGTCCTTTTATGATGTGCTCATTTTTCAGTGGAACATTTTGGCCCAAGTTGCATGAACTTTTCATACAAATGATATTGTCGGAGGTGTTGGAACCAGAGCAACTCCATCTCGAGCTGGGTAAGATGAGGCTGAAACCTACTGGGCTGCATTCCTAGATGATTAAGGCATTCTAAGTCACAGGACAAGATAGAAGGTCAGAACAAAATACAAGTCATAAAGACCTTGCTGATAAAACAGGTTGCAGTAAAGAAGCTGGCAAAAACCCACCAAAACCAAGATGGCGATGAGAGTGACCTCTGGTTGTCCTCGCTGCTACACTCCCACCAGCACCATGACAGTTTAAAATGCCATGGCAACGTCAGCAAGTTACCCTATATGGTCTAAAAAGGGGAGGCATGAATAATCCACCCTTTGTTTAGCATATAAACAAGAAATAACCATAAAAATGGACAACCAGCAGCCCTAAGGGCTGCTCTGTCTATGGAGTAGCCATTCTTTTATTCCTCAACTTTCTTAATAAGCTTGCTTTCACTTTACTCTACAGACTCACCCTGAAGTCTTTCTTCGCGAGACCCAAAAACCCCCCTCTTGGGGTCTGGATCTGGACACCTTTTCTATAACAATATTACAAAAATCACTGACTAACTTAACATTGGCTGTTTGTCCACATGGAGCTTCAGTCCATCAATATCAACACCACTGACAAAATGCTTGCAGTCTGGTTTCGCATGGGAGTGTTTTCAGTAAGAAAAATAGACCAAAAAAAAAAAGGTAGAAAAACACATACTTTCTTTTCTTTCTTACAGAGCCTTATATTTTCCTGATGCTTTTTTCTTAAGTGGTAAAATACTGTGAGACAAAGGCATGGAAAACTCTGACAATACTTTCTGTAAACTAGTCTACCCAGTGGGGAAATTGACATGATCAAGGGACCTTATAGATAAATTTGAATAAAAAGGGAGAGGTACAAAAAGTTTCTAGGAAGAAAATAAAGATACAGAGATAAGAGTAGCTATCAGCTGATGGGCTGAGAGGGTTGTACCTGCAAATAGTGGCCCGTGTCTGCCAGCAGATGCCTTGGAAAAATACTTGGCCGGTTCAGAATCAGGTCCGGCGTAGTTTGGAATGTGAACCACATACGAACAGCCAGGGTAAGATGAGTGTCTCGTTGGGACAGACAAGATAGCTGAGACATAGCTAGCATCTCTGGCAGGGCAAGCATACCTCATTATCCTGGAACAAATGTGTGCAGTTTATTTATTCACAGGCTGAGAGTCACATTTTCTTTACTTATCAAGAAACATGATCATTGCTGTTTTTTTGTTTGTTTTTTTAGACACAGCTTCTCACTATGTTGCTTAGGCTAGAGTGCAGGGCTGTTCACAGGCATGATCATAGCTCACTACAGCCTCAAACTCCTGTGCTCAAGAGATCCTCCCACTTCAGTCTCCTGAGTTGCTGGAACTAAAAGAGCACACCATTGCACCCAACAGATCGTTGGTGTTTAATGTCAGCATTCACTGAGTGCAGTACCTCCCTGGGCATCTTTTACAGACTTGGCTCTTCTAGGGATGGAGCTAAAGGAATGTGGTGGAAATGTCTGCTGGTAGCCTTGAGTTGTCCTCACTGACCTGACAACTATTTGCTGTGTCTTCTTTAGAAGGAAGTCACTTAACCAACCCCCTTAGTTTTTTGTTTGTTTCTCCATAAAAAGAGAATCAACAGCATCAGAAGTCACTTCTGACTCTTCTGCTTAGAGTCCCAGCATGTAGATTGTCAATATTTCTTTTTGATAATGAACTGCATACATTGAACTTTCCAGTTTCTATTTGAAAAAACCAGCCATCTAAAATTGCCCATTTTACGCAGGAAATCATTGCAAAAATCAAACATAGTGTTCCCATAGCTACTCTGTATATGGTTTAGGAGGGGGTTTCATTTTCCTTATTTATTTGCAGTGATAGGATATATCTTTGGAAGACTTCCTCTCTAGCTACTCAACATAGCAAGCTGTTACAGCAAATTCCCTCCATAGTGCATAACAACAGCTGTTGCTCTGGAAACAAGTTAACACTTTGCTTTCCATAAGACATTTCACTTTCCTTAACAATATTAAATCTATGGTTTATTGGTGTAAATAACAGCCTTGGCCTTGGCTATGTACAGACTTGAAGCAATGAACTTGGGTACTAGAAAAAGCAGCTGATAAAAATCAATTATATTTAAAAATATTAACACTTAAAAGTCACTGTAATTTTATCCCCATGTCCCCAAACTTGTTTCTAAATAGAAAGAAAAAAAATATATTGATGCTCTATACAAAACTAAAATGTAAAATAATAAAGCTTACCAAATCTTCCCTAATTAACAAATAGATCTTGTTTTAAAGTGACTATTGCTCATGAGGAACACGAATCATAAATATTTTTTAAATGTTCTAAAGTTGACTATGAAAAAAGTTATGGAAATGGAGGCAGCTCGCCGATCTTTGGGTGAGAGACCTAACTTCTTTGTTTCCTTGGCTTCAGATGAAATCCTTGGCTTTCAAGTAGTCCTGATGTACTACTATGAGGTAGTGTATTAAGATTCAAGGGGGCAATATATAAAAAGTAAAGTATGATTGCATAAAATATGAGCCCCATATATGTTTTCATCATTCCATTTAATTTGAAATAAAAATGAAATAAAGTCATTTATTGTGGTATTAATAATTTTTATAAAATAGCAAATAAAAATTATTTTTCTATTTTTATTATTAAATTATCAATATGTTAGTAGGGTTTTCTTTTATTTTTTATTTTTTATGGAGTTTTACTCTTGTCACCCAGGCTGGAGTGCAATGGCACTATCTCGGCTCACTGTAACCTCCGCCTCCCAGGTTCAAGTGATTCTCCTGCCTCTCAAGTGATTCTCCTGCCTCAGCCTACCATATGGCTGGGATTACATGCACCGGCCACCACACCTGACTAATTTTTGTATTTTTAGTAGAGATGGGGTTTCGCCACGTTGGCCACGCTGGTCTCAAACTCCCGACATCAGGTGATTCACCTGCCTCGGCCTCCCAAAGTGTTGGGATTACAGGAGTGAGCCACCACGCCCGGCCAATATATTAGTAGGTTTCAATAAGTAGACAGAAGAAACAAGAAACAAATAAATAGGTCTGATGAAATTACTATGGTGCCTTTGAGCAGTTTATGTCTCTAATTGTTGATAATTTCACTGGATCAAATTCCTCATCCCAGCACTGGAGTCCAAGCAGTACTAAAGCTTACCTTTTATGAATGATATAAAATGTGATGGTGAGCTTGATAAGTAAAAATCCCATGAGGCAAAACCTTACGTCAAATGTTTTTCTACATTGCTCTGGACAACCTACTAAATCCAAGGATTAGATTTCGGTTGCGCCTTCCTCTACTTCTCAGCAGTATTTGGTCCATCTCATCATTCCCTGCCCTGAAAAAAACATTCATCATGATTCCTGCCTCCCAAGCTGCCCATCCTTAGTCTCCTTTGCTGGCCCCTACTCTTATCCCTGACCTTGTAACAATGGAGCATCCTAGGGCTCAGTCCTTGGACTGATCTCCCTTCTCTCTGCACTCATTCTCACATGGTTTAGTCTTATCCCACAGCTTTATAACCTCCATGCCATGACGCTTAAATGCACAGTTCCTGCCCAGACCTCCACCTTCAACTCCAGACTCTGCAATCCAAAAGCCTACAAAACTCCACTATGTATCTTAAATGTAACATGTTCAAAAACTGCAAATCATCTTCTTAAAACTCAGCTCAACCTCGGTCTTCCTTCTCTATCTCTACTAATAGCAACTCCATCCCTCCAATTGCTAAGGACAAAAAAGAGTCATTAATGACTGCTCTTTCCCTTACACCCCATACCCAGCCCATCAGTCAATCCAGTCAGCTGTTCCTTCAGAATATAACCAGATAAAGTTAACTTCTGCTTCCAGGAAGATGAAGTAGACACACTTGACCCTATTCCTTCTAGTAAGTACAACTAATAACTCTGGACATTTCCTATAAAACAAGCATAAGAAGTCTCTAGAAGGAGGACAGCAGAAGACAGGCTGGCAAGGGACTTTGAGACCCAAGGAACAGCACTGGGTCTGGTGAGTTTCCTGAGTTTTCGTATTGCCCATGTATTTTAGACTTAGTGATGGAAAAGCCAGCAAGCCAGAATCAACAATGGTCACAGATTAAAAAACAAACAAAATGCCCATCCAAAGGACCAGGTAAAGGATAGCATGCCAAGGCAAAAAACTTTTAGAAAATAACCCCTCTACTTTGACCAAACACTACAAAATACTGCAGTCCCACCGCTACAAGCAAAAACTGAGAGTGTACACTTTCTCCTCCACAGTTTGTAACAAGGTGTCTCAACCACATCCCCTCCACACCCACAAGTCTAGGTCATATCAGAGAAAGCTGAATAAGGAGCCTGGACTTTCATCCCTGCAGGGTGGTCATGAGGTCACCCTCCACAGTGATAGTAGAGACCATATAGGGTGCTAAGACTTCTACTTCTAAGAGGTAGAAATGAGGTAGCCCCTTCTAACTAGAGTGGTGTCATAGGAGGCCTAGTGGAGGGTCAGGACCCTCACCACCCCCACTGCATAATGCCCTCCCACCACCTTTGTCAGCAGAAGCTATGGTTAGAGCTGTAATGAGGTCTTGCCCAGCGAGACTGGTATCAGAGGAAGCATCATGGGAGGCCAGAACCCTCACTAGCACTCAGCAGCAACAGGGAGCCTCTCTCTACCACAGGTAACAGAAGAGGCTTAGGGGGTGCCTGGAATTAATGAGGCAATGCCTACTCCTTCCTTCACTGGGGTAGTATGAAAGGAAGCCAACTAAAACAAAAGATTTAAATAAGATCCATAGTCTTATAATATTCAGAAAGTTCAGGCTTCAATAAAAAAATCATTAGTAATACCAAGAACCAGGAAAATCACCACTTCAGTGAAAAAGAATAAGCATTAGACACTAATGCTGAGATGTCAGAGATGATGAAATTATCTGAAGAAGATTTGGAAATAGCCATGATACAAAAAAAAAAAAAAAATCTTCAATGGCAAATGTGAAAATGCTTGAGCCAAATTTTTTTTCCCAAGACAGAGTTTCACTCTTATTGCCCAGGCTGCAGTGCAATGACGCAATCTCGGCTCACTGCAACCTCCGCCTCCTGGGTTCAGGCGATTCTCCTGCCTCAGCCTCCCGAGTAGCTGGGATTACAGGCACCCACCGCCACACCCAGCTAGCTAACTTTTCTGTATTTTTAGTAGAGAGGGTGTTTCATCATGTTGGCCAGGCTGGTCTCAAACTCCTGACTTCGGGTGATCCACCCGCCTTGGCCTCCCAAAATGCTGGGATTACAAGCATGAGCCACCACACCCAGCCTTGAGCCAAATTAAAAAAAAAAAAATAGAAAGTATGAAGAACCAAATGGAAATTTTAGAATTGGAAGATATAATTACTAAAATGAAAACATTAACATATGTGTTTTACAGCTGAATGAAGGGGACAGAGAAAACAGTAAGTTAACTTCAAGATTGAGTAATGAGAATTATCCAATCTAAAAAGCAGAAAGAAAATAGACTTAAAAAATGAACAAAAACTGACAGATCTGTAGAATTATAACAAAAGGTCTAACATTCACGTCTCCTAAATCTCAGAAGAGCAGAAGAAATAGGACAGGGCTGAAAAAGTATTCAAGGAAATAATGACTGAAACTTTCCAAAGTCATCAAAAGACATAAATCTAAAGTATTGAGGAGCTAAGCAAAGTCCAAACAGGATAAACCCAAAGAAATACACACCAAAACATGTGATAATTAAACTTCTTAAAACTAAAGGCAAAGAAAAATCCTGAAAGCAGGGATGGAGGAACAACACCTTACATAAAGGGAAAAAGAACTTGAATGACAGTGGATATTTTATCAGAAACCAGGAAGGTCAGGAAAAAGTGGCATAACATTTTTCAAGCACTAAAAGAAAAAAAAATTGTTAACCCCAAAATTTATACCTACCAAAAAATATAATTCAGTAATGAAAGGAAAATCAAGACATCCTCAGATGAATGAAAACTAAGATTTGTCACCAACAGAATTACTAAGAAGATAAAAGGAGTTTTCTAAACAAAAGCAAAATAACAGAAAAACACCAGAAAGGAAGCAAAAACAATGGAAAGAGTAAAAATATGGGTAAATACAATATATATTCTTCCTCCTAAGTTTTCTAAACAATGTTTGATGATTGAAGCAAAAAGAGTAAGATGTTGCGTGCAGTTCTCAACATATGTAGAAGAAATATGTGAGAATTATAATTGCTAGAGGGTAAAGGAACATAAAGAAGGTAAAGTTTTGCACTTTACTTACATTGGTAAATGTCAACATCGATAGACCATAATAACATGTATTTATGATGTAATAGCTAAACCGATGATTATAGAAGTTATACAAAGAGATACACTCAAGACCACTATAGATAAATCAAAACAGAATTCTAAAAATATTTCAAGTAACTCCTAGGAAGGCAGGAAAAGAAAGCGGAGAAATATAGAAGGCAAAAATCAATATGATAGAATTAAGCAATAACATATCACTAATAATGTTAAATATAAATGGTCTAAATACATCAACTAAAGGCACAGCTTCCCAGACCAGATTTTTATAAAAAAATCACCCAATTATACATTGTCTATAAGACACTCACTTCAAATTTGGTGATATAGGTAAGTTGAAGGTAAAGAATGAAAAAGTGTTATATCATTCAAATATTAATTAAAAGAATGTAGGAGTCACTATATTAATATAAGATCAAGAAGACTTCACCACAAAGAAAACTACTAAAAACATCACATATTGATAAAAAGCTCAATCTACTAAGAAGACATAGCAATCCTAAATGTGTATGTATAAAAAAAACAGAGCTATGAAATAAGTGAAGCAAAACCTGATGGAACTGAAAAGGGAGATAGACAAATCCACAATTTTAACTGGAGACTTCGACACCTCTCTCTTACTAGTTGATGGAACAACTACACAGAAAACTAGAAAATATACAGAAAAACTAGACATCATCATCAACCAACAGAATCTAACTAATCAACATTTATAGAATACAATAAAACTACAGAATATGCATTCTTTTCAAGTACCAAGGAACATATACCAATACTGATCATATCCCAAGCTGTAAAACAAATCTCAACCATTTTAAAAGAATTGAAATTATATGGATTATGTTCTTTGCCCACAATTGAATGAACTAGAAATCAATGACAGAAACGTAGTACTGGAAGTCATAGTCTGTGCAATAAGGCAAAAAAAAAAGAAAAAGAGAAAAAGAAAAAAAAAAGGAAATAAAAGACATTTAAATAAGAAAGAAGAAATAAAATTGTCCCTATTTGCAAATGACATGATTATCTATGTAGGAAATCTCCAAAAATCTCCAGAAATTTCTAGAACTAATAAGTAAATTCAGCATATTTGCAGGAAAGCAAGCTAAACATTTAAAAATCTATCGTAGTAGAAAAACGAAGACTGACACAATCCACCTTCAATACTTACTATCAAGCTAGAATAACAAAGGAATTGTAGTATTGGTAAAAGAATAAATAGATCAATGGAACAGAAAAGAGAGCCCAGAAAGAGACCTACACAAATATAATCAACTAATCTGACAAAAAGGCGAAGGAAATTCAATGGAGAAAGTCGTTTTTTCCATAAATGGTGCTGACACAATTGAAAATCCATACGCAAAATAATGAACCTAGACACAGATCTTACACCTTTCACAAAATTTGACTCAAAATAAATCATAGATCTAAATGTAAAATGCTAAACCATAAAACTCCTTGAAAATAAGGGAAACTCTAGGGAATCTTGGGTTGGGTAATGACTTTTTATATACAATACGAAAAGCATCACCCAAGAAAAAAAACAGAGACAAATTGGACTTTATTAAAATTTAAAATTTCTGCTCTGTGAACGACACTGTTAAGAAAATGTAAAGAAAAGCCACAAACTGGGATAATTTTTTTTTTAAAAACATGTATCCAATAAAGGACTGGTACTGAAAATACGCAAAGAAATCTTAAAATTCAAGAATAAAAAACCAAACAATCCAATTAGAAACTGAGAGAATTTAACAGAAGCCTCACAAAAGAAGAAATACAGATAGTAAATAAGCATGAGAAAAGATGTTCAACATCATATGTCATTAGAGAATTGCAGATTAAAACAATGAGATGCTACTACACACCTATTCGAATGGCTAAGTCCAAAAGCACCGACAACACCAAATGCTGACAAGGATATAGAACAACAGTAACTCATTCATTACTGGTGAGAATGTAAAATGGTATGGTCTCTTTGGAAGACCGCTTCGCAGCTTCTTTAAGCATGCTCTCACCATACGATCCAGAAATTGCACTCCTTGGTATTTACCCCAGAGGTGAAAACTTATGTCCACAAAAAAACCTGCACACAAATGTTTATAGAGGCTTTATTAATAATTGCCAAAGCTTACAGGCAACCAAGATGTGCTTCAATAGATGAATGCATAAACAATGATACACCCACTAATGAGACATTATTTATCACAATAAAGAAATGAACTATCATGCCATGGAAAGACATGGAGGAACCTTAAATGCACATACTAAGTGAAAGAAGCCAATCTGAAAAGGCCACATCTGGTGTGATTTTAACTATACGACATTCTGAAAAAGGTAAAACGATGAAGCAAAAAGATCAGTGGTTGCGATGGTTTGGGGGCAGAAAGGGATAAATAAACAGTACACCGAGGATTTTTAGGGTAATGAGACTAATCTGTATGATACTATGGTGGATACATGCCATTACACACTTGTCAAAACTCATTCAGTGCCTAACACAAAGAGTGAATCCTGACTTTAGTTAATAATAATGGATCAATGTTGGCTCATCAATTGTAACAAACGTACCAAGATAAAGCAAGATGTTAATAATAGGAGAAACTGTGTAGGTGGTGGGATGGGAACCCTCTGTACTTTCTACTCAATTTTTCTGTAAATATAAAACTGCCATTAAAAGTCTTATTCTTTTTTTAAAAAACTGAATTTCATTTCTATATACTAGCAATAAACACATGGAGAATGAAATTTAAAATATAATATTATTTACAATTGCTCCAGAAATTAATTCATTGGATGTAAATATAACAAAACACATAGTATTTGTGTGCTAAAACCTGCAAAATACTGATGAAAGAAATCTCCTTGAAGAGGTCCTTCACATCCCTTGTAAGTTGGATTCCTAGGTATTTTATTCTCTTTGAAGCAATTATGAATGGGAGTTCACTCATGATTTGGCTCTCTGTTTGTCTGTTGTTGGTGTATAAGAATGCTTGTGATTTTTGTACATTGATTTTGTATCCTGAGACTTTGCTGAAGTTGCCTATCAGCTTAAGGAGATTTTGGGCTGAGACGATGGGGTTTTCTAGATATACAATCATGTCATCTGCAAACAGGGACAATTTGACTTCCTCTTTTCCTAACTGAATACCCTTTATTTCCTTCTCCTGTCTAATTGCCCTGGCCAGAACTTCCAACACTATGTTGAATAGGAGTGGTGAGAGAGGGCATCCCTGTCTTTTGCCAGTTTTCAAAGGGAATGCTTCCAGTTTTTGCCCATTCAGTATGATATTGGCTGTGGGTTTGTCATAGATAGCTCTTATTATTTTGAGATACATCCCGTCAATACCTAATTTATTGAGAGTTTTTAGCATGAAGTGTTGTTGAATTTTGTCAAAGGCCTTTTCTGCATCTATTGAGATAATCATGTGGTTTTTGTCTTTGGTTCTGTTTATATGCTGGATTACATTTATTGATTTGCATATATTGAACCAGCCTTGCATCCCAGGGATGAAGCCCACTTGATCATGGTGGATAAGCTTTTTGATGTGCTGCTGGATTTGGTTTGCCATGAGGAATCAAAGAAGACCTAAATAAACAGAAGGATAAACCGTGTCCATGAATTAGAAGATTGAACATAATGAAGATACCAATTCTCCCCAGGTGGGTTTAATATAACTCATACCAAAGTGTCAGCAAGATTTTTTGTAGATATATAGACAAGATTATTCTCAAATTTATAAAGTCAAATAATCTAGACTAAATATTTAAACAAATAATCTAGACTAAGTAAAACAATTTTTTTAAAAAAGAAGAAAATAAGAAGAATCACTCTATCTAATTTCAACATTTACTAGATAGATAAATAATTAAACTGATGTGGTACTAGCAGAGGAATAGAGACATAGATCAATGAAACAGAATCCAGAATCTAAAAATTAGTCCCATACAAGTAGGATCAACTATTTTTTGACAAAAATGCAAAAGCAACTCAATGCAGGAAGGACAGTCTTTTTAACAAAGGGTGTTGGAACAACTGGACACACATCTTCAAAAAAAGAGTGAGACTCACATCTTATACAAAAATTAGCTGAAAATGTATCAGAAATGTAAGCGTAATTCATAAAACTTTTAGAAGAAAATGTGGGAGAAAAATCTGTAAGACCTAAGGAATGGCTGTAATCCCAGCACTTTGGGAGGCTGAGGCGGGCAGATCACAAGGTCAGAAGATCGAGACCATCCTGGCTAACACACGGTGAAACCCCATCTCTACTGAAAATACAAAAAAAAAAAAAATTAGCCAGGCATGGTGGCATGCACCTGTAATCCCGGCTACTCAGGAGGCTGAAGCAGGAGAATTGCTTGAACCCAGGAGGCAGAGGTTGCAGTAAGCTGAGATAGCACCATTGCACTCCATCCTGGGCTACAGGACGAGATTCTGTCACCAAAAAAAAAAAAAAAAAAAAAAGAAAGAAAGAAAGTGTAAAAAACATCAGAGAATGTGCAGAATCTGTAAAGATACATATGGACATATTTATGGTAGAAAGTATATGATGTTTGGAATTTGCTTTAAAATAATTCAGTGTGGATTATTTACATAGATTTATACAGATGTATAGATAAGATATGTTGATAATTATTACATTTGTGTGATGGTAACATATGAGTTCCTTATCTCTTTACTTCTGTGAAAATTTAAAAATTTCTAAAATGAAATAGTTTTTTAAAAAATCTAAAATTAAAAAAATTCCAGAACTGATATTTTAAAGTACATAGCAACCCATATATACACAGTTTTTTGGTGTTTTATTTTGTTTTGTTTTTTACGGGTGATGTTCATTTGATAGATTCCCTTATGGTAGTTAAATAATTTTAATAGGACTGTGTTAGAATGAGACACATTTTTACCTCCTAATATCCTGGTCCTAGTCATCTGGAATACATCAAATCTCCTAAATGGACTCTCTGATTCCTCCCTTGCCTTTCCATAGGCTGCTAATGATACAACAAGCTGGAGAGGTTATTGTATAATATGTCAGATTGGAAGCATTCATTAGTTCCCCCTCTCATCTCATTCAGAGGATGAGCCAATGTCTTTTCAATAGCTCAGCCTCCCCAGTTGCCTCTGTGACCACGTCTTCTAAGCTCCCCTCACTTGCTCTTTGCCAGCTGTCCACTTCGCTTCTGTTGTTGTCACCCATCAAGTATGCCCTGACCTCTGAGCCTTTGCAGTGTTCCCTCTGTCTTGAACACCCTTCTTCTCATTGCATGGCTCGCTCCCTCGCTTTCTTCTGGTTTCCACTCCAATGTCAGAGATGTGCTTTCCCCTGGCCACATTACAGAGCTCTTATTTATATCCACCCCCTTAGTCCCCAGCCCTGTCCATGTCTTAGGTTTCTCCAGAGCACTTATCATCTTCTAACTACTGTGTAATCGGCCAAGCTATGTTGCTTCATCTGATTCCCCTCACCCAAATGTCAGCCCCCTGAGGGCAGGAACTTTTATCCTTTTTTTTTTGGACTACTGTTCCCCAGAACCTAAAATAAGTGTCTGGCATATAGTATGTGCTCAAAAAATATTTGTTGAATAAATTTTAATCACAATTACCAGCTAAAGAGTGGCATATCTTGGTCAGTACAGATGGCATAATATTAACTACCATGTACTAGGATGACAGTGATAATGACAATAATGAACATGTGTCTATGAAGCACTAACTCTTGGCTGGAAAGTCTGCCAAATGCCTTATGTGGACACACACACACACACACACACACACCCTTCAGAGAGCAGAAAGTGTTTCACTAGGGAGAAGCTGTGATGAATTTATGTGCCCTAATGATGTCTTATTTTTGGTGCTCTAAATTGGTATATCATCATAAGAATAGCTGACATTTATTGAATACCAACTACATGGCAACGACTCCGCCAAGCATTTGTATTATGATGTCTTTTCATTTTGAAAACAACTGTGAGGTTGAAACTATTCTTATCTCCCTTTTACAAACCTGTTTGTGGAGATTAAGAAGCCTGCCCGAGTGTTCTTAAGACAAAGTGATGGCACCAGGTGATGAAGGCAGACCGGAAGCCCAGCTTGTACCCCCATAGAACCCTTACCATGAGCCAGTCCCTGTGCTAAACACTCTACAGCATCTATCTAGTCCCCGAAAGAAGGACTAGAGGAGCTTCCAAAATAGCTCATGGGATGGCAGGACCCACATTCAACCCAGCGATGTCTATCTCAAAACAAACCTCGTCTGTTCATGAGGCCTCCCTGGTCACCCTACTCAGTGTGGAAGTCCCCTCCATACACACACACCCCTCTCATCTTTTACTTTCTTCCAAGTGCTTGACTGACTTATTGTTTATTTTTAGCCTCCCCGCTATAATGAAAGCCCCACGAGGGCAAGAATTTAGGGCTGATTCTGAAGCATCCAGAACAGTGCTCAGTATACAGCAGGCACTCAATAATTGCTTTTCCCTGGTTCTAGTTGATGCTCTCTCCTAAGAAAAGGTCCAAAGTTTCAGGCAGAAGCCATAATGCTTCAAGATAAGAGAGGCCCAGACAGCTCCTTTCTCCTTCGGGGTTTGAATACCCTGCATGAAAGAAGGCAGTGGAAGGAAGCTATTCTTGTGTGTGTTTGGGCCCAGACCTGGAGCTGAGCACACAGTGTAAGCAGTATGAGTATAATTTCAAAGAAGATCCTGGGCCTGGGTTAGAAGTTTTGGGACTAAATGTCTAGATGGCCTCAGTGATTTTCATTAGAGGGTGATTTTGTGCCCACCCACACCCAGGACACCTGGCAATGTCTGGAGGCATTTTTAGTTATCATAACTGGGATCTACTGGGTAGAGGCAAAGGGGTGCCACTAAACATCCCACAATACACAGGACAGTCCCACAACAAAGAATTATCTGGCCCACAATGTCCACAGTGTGAAGGTTGAGAAATCCTGCTGTACACATCAGGAGTTCCTAGCGTGAGAGGAGATTTCTGCTTCTAAGTGTGGAAGGCATTTTCAGGGATCTCCTGAAGCCTCCATGGAGGTGGAAGCCTGTCCTTTGCAAAGGGAACCCAGGCCATGCTGCTGGGATAATCACAGGTCTTGTTTTCAGAAAGCGATTGCCTCTCATCGTTGCAGGGATATTACATAAACTGCCAACCAATTCTCAGAAGCCCACAAATAAATTGTACAGAACACAAAATGGCACTCTCTGAAAAAAGGTGATTTTTAAGTACGGCCTTGATGTTGTGCCCTAGAACTTTCAAGCCAACTCTACCCTCAAGAGCTGGAGTGTGTGGAAGCCCAGTGAGCCACTCTGGGAGTGGCCCCAAGCCTGCATGCAATGGAGCCTGGGCTGGGGTCCCAGATGAAAGTCAGCTGTTATTCAGGAACTGCAGCCACTCCTGTAACGTGATACTGTGTCTGTGGTGATGGCTGTGTGATCCCAAATGTCTGAACGAATACCAGCAAATTAAGTTGATGTTAGGCATTTCCAAATATCTAAGTACTTGACATTTATGGGAAAAGGAGGCTAAGTTGCATTTTCCATTACATTTTGTGGTGCATAGTTTTTTCTAGCTAACTAAAACACAGTGGAAGTATTTGGAGTGATTTGCTGTATTTAGGACAATGTCCAGAATCCCCATACATGAACACCCAAAAAACTGATAAATAAGACCCAGCTACCACAGAGTAATCGATCTGCAAGCCAGAGGTGGGGGTATCTCAATGAGATTAGATACCTACAACAGGTTGATGTGCCTCCTAAATTATTTAAGAATTTACATTTTTATAAACTCTAGACTCAAATCTTAATTCTTCCTGTGCTGTTTCAAACTGCCAAATGTAAGGACATTCATGTTTGTAGTTTATTTTGCCTTGCATGGTAAAGCAAGTTGTTGTGTGTGGATGTGGCTGTTTTTATAAGGACTCTGTACCCTCTGCCATGCTGTGCTCTGTTGGTGGCTATTCCAAGCCGCAGTGTTGGCTGATTGAAAAGGTCTCTACTTCCTCACTGCTCACTCCCCAAGCATCCGTGTGCGGTTTCACATTCCCATCATTCTGATACAACCCCTTTGTGAGATCACTGCTGTCTAACCTCTCTTCCTGTGAGAAGAGAAGAAAGGAGGAAGCCTGAGGTAGGGTTTGGCTCTCAGGAGGATCCTCAGGTGACAAAATGTGCAGGAAAATGGAATGGGATCCCTGAGGGAGGAAGTGCATTGCAGGGTAAAGAGGACAGAGTCCTCAGGTCCTGTCTAAGAGAATGAGCAGTGAACCGGGATGGGATACACAGCAGATGATCTGGAAGTGTCAGGTGGATTTAGGATAGAAGTAGGTGCCTGGAACAAGGAGACTTTAATGGGTGTCTGTAGCTGAGCCCTTGGTGAAGACGGAGCTACTGGGCCCCAAGAACTTTTGCATCATTGGCTTATGATCCAATTCCTTCCTGCCTGCTTCTCATGTCCATTCATTCTGCGTTTGACATTGAAGACCACTGCCTCCTTCCCAAGAAAATGCACCAGACTGCTCGCTGACTTGTTTCTTAATGCTTCTTTCTCTCCCTCATTTGTGGGCTGTCTTTCTTCTTCCCTTCTTCCCCTAAGAATAATTGGTATTTTACTGTCTTCTTTCCTATGATTGTTTTCCTTAAAGATTATATTTGAAATCAAAAATCACCTCTGCAATTTCTCATCAGTATCAATGATTATAATTAATGACTTTCAGGAAAACCAGTTTTGCATATCAAGCTACTTGCTGAATGATTATTACAAACTGGTATTCCACCATCAACTCAAGTTTAATACGTCCAAACCAAAGTAAATCACCATGCTCTACTTCAAAACATGCCCCCTCCTCTTAACTCTCAGATTTCTGTCCATCTTACCAACTTTTCTTAGTCAAAAGTAATTCACAGTTTAGTACCAGTTGGCAAGCAATTTTATAGTATGGCACAATAACAACACCAAAGAAAACTTATTCCTATATTTTGAGTCACTATTCATACTTCTGAAAATATAGCCCAAAGAGTAAATACAAATTATTAAAAAATGCTACATACATAGAATTATTTTTGATGCAGAGGTAGCAACCAACATGTTTAAAATTTGAGAAATCACTAAGTAAATACATGGGGAAATGTGTGCTAACATAAAAACAGAAAAGCAAGATAGACATGTATAGTTATGATGATTAAAACAGAATATAATATGCATATAAAAGGATTAAAAACCCACTAAAATAATACTTATTGTTTGAAGGTATGTGTCCACATTACTTTTTACTGTATGTTATTTAAACTGAATTACACCTATTTGAAAAGGAAACTTCTTCATCATCCTTGATCCCTCCAGCTCTTTTTTGTTTGGCTACCAATTTTACATGTTAACTCCTCACATATCAATTATATTCTTTATTTCCTTTTCATTTTTACTGTCCCACCTTTGTTCAACCCCTGATGATACTGATTCACTGAATGATTTTGATTTTCATTCACTCCCAGGCTTTCTCCATTTCCCTTCTGTGTTGCTAGACAGCCCAAAACAACATGTCCCAAGCAGAGGGATATGTGGCATTGTTCTGATGAATAAAACATTGGCAGAAACTGACTGTTAAATTCTGGAAGCACTTCCTCTTTTCTGAGGATGAAAGAGCATGAAGGTGACTGTCCACCCCCAAGGATGGTAGAAGAAACAGTTGACAGAGCCTGGGTTCCTGGCAGCATCATTGTGGAAGCTGCTTCTGACCCTCTTGTTCCAGGAGAAAAATAACCTTTTTGTTTTCTGTTACTTGCAGCCTAATGCATTGCCAACTAACATCTTGCCTCGCTGCCTCCCTGCTTGTAGCCTCACATCATTCACTTCAGCTTACACTTCTATAAGGGTGAAAGAAGAAAAGACCAGAAAATAGTACTAGATAAATAAACATTGACAATAAAAGCAAAACACAGCTGGCAGGCGAAAACAATGTGGAAGACCAAAAATTACAAAAAGCACGCAAAAAAATAAATTTTTTTTGAGATGGAGTCTTGCTCTGTTGCCCAGGCTGGAGTGCAGTGGCATGATCTCAGCTCATCGCAACCTCCGCCTCCCAGGTTCAAGCAATTCTCATGCCTCAGCCTCCTGAGTAGTTGGGATTGCAGATGTGCACCACCCCTCCTGGCTAATTTTTTTGTGTGTGTTTTTTTTTTTTTTAGTACAGATAGGATTTCACCATGTTGGCCAGGCTGGTCTCTAACTGACCTCAAGTGATCTGCCCGCCTCAGCCTTCCAAAGTGTTGGGATTACAACACTTTGGCTACCATGCCTGGCCAAACAAATTTTTTAAAGAGTTGTGTAGGTCCATTTAGTAAAGAGCTAAAGAAATTCTGCACATCAATAGTGACTTAGGGCATCAGTATTAATACCACAGTACAGTGTAATAATGAAGTCTCCCCAAAATATGCATTCAGCTTTTGGTCTACAGTGGATAAAATAGTGAGTCAAACATACAAGACTCCCACTCTCATGGAGCTTAGAATTGAACTAGAAAAAAAGTATATGAACAAGATAATTACATGAGTAAATAATTTAAAACTGTGCTATGAATTATCAAATTAAAGACTGGGTTTTATAAAGGAGAGCATGGCCCAGTGCATGTACCAGTGGCGTAGGGGCAGGTAAGGAAGTCTTCCTTGGGAAACTGAAGTTTGAACTAGCTGGAGATAAACCCGCTCTGTTAGAAAAATGAACAGAGGAGGAGGAAGGAAGAGAGGAACAGCATTTGGGGAAGTTTAGGGCAGGTCCTGGGGCAAGGGGACAGATACTGAGATGGAGGACCTTAAAGAAGGTCAGATGGCTCACCCCCATAAGTATATATTTGTTCCCACTCATCAAGAAAAGATGAAATTGTGTTCATTGCATTCTGCTTCAGAAGAAACTAAAAGTATGCAATTGAGTTTCTAAACATTTCCACTTGGAAAAATAAAATCAAACTAGTTTATTGCAGAAAATAGTAACTGTAATTTTGCATAAAGTCATTCTAGACATATTTTTAAGCATCTAGTAATTACCAGGAACTATGCTTTGGAGAGCTCAAATAAATAATGAAGGAACTGAAGTAAACAAACAATTCCAGTTAAGCATAACGAGCACTCTGATAGAGGGGTCATCAAAGGCTATGGGGACACTGAGAAGGCAAAAAATTAATTCTCTCAGGGTTGAATTGTCTTGAAAATTCATTTATGTTCAGTACATCGTTGCCAAATGATACCAAACAAGTGAACTGTGACTGAATGTAAACATGAAACAAACCAGAAAATCTAGACTCTGACAACTCTCCAAAGGTAATAGAATTGTTTAATGCACTTAGAAGTACACAAGCCTACCTCAAAAGCAATTCTGTGAATTAGACCACCCTCACCAGGCCTGGCCAGTCATTCAAATAACTAGATTTGAGGATAATTGAATTTCAGAATATGTATTTGAGATTCTTTTAAAAGAAAGAAAACACTGAATTAGACCTGATCATACACACAAGTCAGAATTGAATATAAAGGTAGAAAGAGCCAATGTAAGTTTAATTTGTTCTTTTGTTAAGATACAAATTAAAGACATATTTTTAATAGTATGCACTACAATTAGCCTTTTCATTCATTGTAGTTTAGTAGATTATCGATGAAACAAAAGCCAGAGACTTGGTTCTTTGCACTGGCTCTGCCAATAAGCAGCTGTATGAAGACAGAGTCACATGATTTCTCTGATTCCCAGTCTCCTTATTATAAAAGGATAATTTCATCGGTAGTGTCCTATAATTCTAAAATTGTTACTCCAGAAAAATCATACACCACTATATTATTTTCACTGAATTCAATATTGGCTAACTGCAATTGTAAAAACTCAGGACACTATAAAGCCATTTCACCAACAATTTGCCAGGCCACAATACATCAGAATTTATAAATGATACTTTCAATTTACCAAAGGTGACCTGGCAAGTATCTGATGTTGGGTAATTGTGAAGCTACATGAAACTTAATAGTAGCTCTAAAGCATAGTGAAGTATACATAGTCTCATTAACTAGGAAACCATACTGAAAAGTCAGGTACAAAGCTTCCAATGAAATCTATACCTTTCTCTTGGATACAGGAAAGAAACAAAAAAACCCCAAATTTAACAAAGATAATATCAAATTTCCTTGTATATTATTATGGAGATGAGTGAAACTTGTGTATAGTATTTCTGTTGTAGAACACATCTTTGCACATCTCAATCATTTCTACCTAAAGTGATTGACAAAGTTTCTGAAAGTAAATGAGTTCCAATACGTGTGCCAATGAGGAATTTGATAATTTAAAAAAATTGGATTTGGTTTTGTCACTAGATCAAAAAAGTGACACACTAATTAAATGCAGTGCTACATAATAATTTTAAGTGTAACTGCAGTATAATTTTTCTGACATGTATTTACAATCCATCTCCATCATAATTATCATGCACAGATTATGTTACTTTGTTTTTCAAGTTCTCCACTATCTCCTTGAAGTGCAGGCTTTTCAAATATGGGATCATTTTTAAATATACAGTGCCTACAATACCTATCTTATCACAGGACCTCATTATATGAATAACAACAATACTAGTATTTATGCTAATACCTAATGTTCTGGAAAGCCAACCTTGTATTACTTTTCAGTTCATTTTATAAAAGTAAGAATGTTGGGGAAGGAGCATCATTTTCTAGCTTGTCTGTAAAACAAAAGAGTTTCTCCTATTCTTTCCTATGCCATCCATCTCTTCCCTTACTAGTGACAGGTAGGCTTGTATACTTCTAAGTCCATTAGACATGACACAAAGGTTTTGACAAATGTGAGTGAGGTGCCTTCTGCAGTTTTTAATGGGAAGGAGCATCCATACCACACATGTTTTCAAGGAAAATGGTCCCAGTCCTTCGAACCCAAGGAATCCTGGTGGACAAGCACAGCTGTGGGTCAGCTCACCTCTTTCCCTATCCAGACCTCATACCCTCTTTATAAGTGTCCTATTAATGATGTAATACAAGCAAATGTTACATTCTTTGACAAAACTAAAAATTATAATGTATGGAATTACATATTTAACAGGAAGATGAAAAATAGTTCCATGTAAAGATGTGTTGAGTTCTGTGATGGTTATTGTTATATATCCACTAGGTTGGATTATGGTGCCAAGTTGTTGGGTCAAATACCAGCTTAATATTGCTGTGAAGGTATTTTTAGATGCAATTAGCTTTTATAATCCCTTGACTTTGAGTAGAGCAGATTACCCCCTACCCCATACTATGAGCGGGCCTCATCCAATCAGTTGAAGATTTAAAGAGAAAAAACAGGTGTCCTGAGGAAAAAGAAAGTCAGCTTCCAGATTGCAGAAGAAAAATTCTACTGGAGTGTCCAGCCTTCAGACTGGAGATTGCAACATCAGCTCTGACCTGAATCTCCAGCCTGCCAATTGCCCTGTAGATTTCAGACTCACCAGGCCTTACAATCACTCTCTCTCACTCTCTATGTGTGTATGTGTATGTGCACATGCATATGTATATACATGTATGTGTGTATATAATATATATTTATGTGTTCTATTGTTTCTCTTTTTTCTGGAGAACCCTGACTAATATTAATTTATTGAGAACATTAAATATAATAGCTACTATTTTTGAAAAACACTTTTTTGTTCTATATATGACATTGATAGTCTGTATCAACCCTTAGCAAGTTATTACAAATTTCATGTTCTTAATGTGATTTTAAGTTAATGATATCTGTCTGTCTGTCTCCTATGGGATATTACACACACAGAGTTCAGTCATTTTGTATAAATATAGTAGCATAATTACATATTTATATCATATATATTTATTGTATACATATTATATATTTATCTGTGATATTCTCATGTGTAATGATGACATAAAGTTTTAGAAGTATGATGTATATTACAATATTCTCAACTGTAGGACTCGTTTTAGGTCTGTTAAAACCTTAAGAAGCGGTTCTTCTTAATAAATATTACTATCTTCATATGGGAAAACACATTTAAAAATACTTTTATAGGCAGCTAGTAAATTACAATGACTTTACTTTTAGATCAAAGTTATGTTCTTTAAAATTATAAATGGCACATTAAAAATAACATTTTTTAATCTAACAGATATCAAAAATATTGAAATTACAGGTCTTAAATTATTTTTTTAATTGCTCACAACAATTTTGATCTGGGCATCCTTCAGAAAGATAAGACCCTTTTAGAAGTAGGCTGAGGACAGAGGGTACTTACTAACTGCAGAGTCATAGGAGGTCGAGTTGTGCTCGCCTCTCATGAAGGGGTACGGAGACAGGTAAGCATGTGTGCAGTTCTTGGACGGTGGCTGATTGGCTAGGAAGAACAGCAAAACAATGGCACTTGTTATTGAAAAGCTCAGTCATGACTCATCCTTAATGGAACAGAAATACAGAGCACAAGGGTTACACAAGCAAAACAAAACTACTGGTTCCATCAGCAAATTCAGCGAATTGTTGTGAGGAGGAAGGCCTTCTAGGAAACTCATATCAAGATGCACATGAGACGAAGGTGGATTCATCCAGAACATCTAGCTACATGACATAATTCAATGGAATAAATGCAAATGCCCTTTATATCACCTTACGATTTAAGGTACCACATTTCATCTTTTTTCACATACTCTCCAGTACCCAACAGTGTCTAGCACACAGTAGGGAATAAAAAATAATTGTTTTAAAAATCTAATAAACTTAAGTTTAACCTTGATTAGTTCAAATTAATAAAAAAATTCTTCTATATCCATTTTATTTTAGGGAAGAATGCAAATGATAAGTTATACAATAATTCAAATAAATTTTTAATATTTGAAAACATCACAAGAAGGCACTTTTATGTTGTCTGAGAACTTAAAATTTTTATATGTACACTTTAAGGTGGACTGAAATATTGAAATATTCTTTCTTTCTCCAAGTCTTTGGCAAAATCTTCCTCTTGCACAGTCTGACTTACTTCCCTTTACTAAAGTCTAAACCATTTCCACTGGCAAGTTGTATGCTTATTCTCCTGCCCCCAAATCCACTGTAAGATAGTCTATCAGGTACTTGCCTCAAAACGCTGCTTCATCACTACTTTGTTCCTTATATATGCCAACTTATCACCAGCTTGCTTAAGTCTTCAGGGACCTCCTATTTTTATTAAATATTCCATAATCCTGACTATTATGTAAATACCATACTTTGATTTTTGATAAGAAGACTAATAATTTCAATTCTCAATAAGCTTTAGGCTAATAAACAGCCCTTTCATTGTTGAATACAATGAAATAAGCGCTAGCTATTTTCAATAAATTGATTTTCAAAGATTAATTCAATATAAAGAATAGAGTTGAACAAATGCATTATAGTTTTTAAAAGTTATGCTACCTTAAAAAAGAACTTTAAAGTTTCAATGAGAACACAAACATCAAAAGCAAGGCACTTCTTGATAGTGCCAACAAACTTGGTTAAAGCTCAAATAATATAAGCTTTCATCTGCCATGGCTGGTAATTAAGTTCCATGATTTTTTTAAAAAAAATATACTGTTAACTTTGAAGTTATGAATATAAAATAATACATCTCTATTTATGGATTTTTACATTTGAGATTTCAAGGGCTGATAGCAAAAAAATCTTATTTATTTGCAACATAGTATTCACACACTTGAAAAAATGCTATAGACAATACCTGTCCTGTTTGTTAGAGTTAGTGTATTCTAAACAGGAGCAGTGAAACAATGGATAATTCAGTTTTGCCATAAATATTCAGACTCCTGTTTTATGCTAAAAGATAAAATAATTATTCCTATAGCCATGTCTACTTACTGAAAAGGAATCTCTACATGATGAACCTTTTAAAGACATCTAATTGAGATTTTGTAACTCACAATCCAGTCCGCTAGAAGTGACATATACTATGTAAGAAACTGTTCATTTTTATTTTACAGACAAGAGGGAAAATAAAGCTAAATTGTACTTACTGTACCAGAACTTCCAAATATTGGAGTCATTCTCTTCCACAATCCCATTAAACCAACACCTCCAGAAGAACCCTTCATGGTGAAAAGTGACGTTCTCTATCTGCACAGAACAAAATGAAGTAACTTGCCATCAATACAAGAAATATAATCAAAATCATTACAGCCAGTAAATTTTTAAGGACATGTATTTTATCCCAAATAATGAAGCTCAGTAGCTTTCTACATATCTCTTCCATGAAGAAATAGACACTCCACTACTATTCTCTGATTTCAAGAGCATACATAAGGGTATCTTCATAACTACCATGTGCATCACTATTTTGAAGAAGAGACTCACATTCTTTTCACCTGAACATCTCCCCACTTCAGTTGCAAGAAGCCAATAATCCGATCCAAAAGCCACCAAAAAGAGTAACACCCCCAAAGCACCAAAGAGAGCTCCAAAGAAGATAGCGATATTTAGTCTCATTTTCAATTCACTGGTTTCCTTTTAAATAAAATATGAAATTTTAAAATGGTAAGACACCTAGTTTCTCAGAAACAACAGCAAAAAAAAAAAAAAAAGAATAATATTTTTGAGTTGGCAGAATCTTCTTGAGAAGGCTGTCCTAGCTCATGTTTTGGTGGCTTCTCGCTCACGCCCCACCGGCAGATTCATATTCCCTTTGCTCGCCCCTGGAGGAACTCCAGCCCAGCAGCTGAGAATTGCTGGCTATTTTAAGATAGTGATTGAGGAGCTGTCTTTCTCCCATGGGGATCAAAAAATAGCTGACCTTCTCTTGACTATAGAGAGAAGTATCAGGAACTGGCTCAGATTATCATTATTGCTGTTGGGTAATCCACAGAAGTAGAAAGAAGATGGAATGGTTATGAAGTCATTGAAAGCATTGGCCCCAAATCTTGTGTCTGAACAAGCTCCTCTTAGTCTAGAATGCCCATTACAATCCCAAAGACACTTAAGACTCTCTTTGAAGATATATAAATCACAGATATAAAGAACCACAAAGACCGATCTTGAACACAATTGAAGTTGTAATTAACTTAATTCCTTTTGGACTTTTTTTGTGGTAGAAAATACGTTTTTGGTCAAATAGTCTAACATAACACAGTACAGTTCACGTTTATAATCTAAACATTCAGAGGTATACTTAAAAGGTCAAGAATGTTCATGGTAACATAATTGTTGAAAGTATAAAGAAGAGCTTTTATGCAGCATACACTAGTGACATAAAAACAACACTTTCTGCAGCAGCCTCATGAGTCTTATACAAGTTATTCCAAATAATCATCCCCAAAGTGGACTGATGAAAAAAGTCTCAAAAATGTATTATTTCCTGAATTAAGATGAAATAACCTGATCGACTTCTTTTTCCTTCATTTTAAAATATCTCACTTCCTCAAAATATGAATCATACTTAATACTCACACAGACCACCTAATAGCAATGAATCTACACTTTCTTCAAGGCTTAACTCTTTACAGCTTATTTGTTTGTTTTGTTTTTCTGTCTGATATGCCAGAGGAGAGTATTTTTCTAAGTATTTGTGTGCATTTAAAATCTTGCACCGTTCCTTTGGTTATTGTTTTTATATTCTCAACAATAATCTGGAATACTTAATCTTCCAAGGGGGCATCTCAACTCTACCAGCTTTCTTCACGCCTTCTTTTTTGTGGCATGGGATAGATCCTTACAATGGATTCTGTGAGAACAAAAAGATTCTCAATAAAGATGAAGGGCCCTGTTAGGATGTAGCTATATGCAATCAGAGGTATTCAAAAGCTATGAATAAGGCCAGGCGCGGTGGCTCACACCTGTAATCCCAGCACTTTGGGAGGCCGAGGCGGGTGGAGACCAGGAGCCTAGCCAACATGGTGAAACCCCATGTCTACTAAAAATACAAAAAATTAGCTGGGCATGGTGGCGGGCCCCTGTAATCCCAGCTACTCAGGAGGCTGAGACAGAAGAAACGCTTGAACCCGGGAGGTTGAGGTTGCAGTGAGCCGAGATCGTGCCATTGCACTCCAGCCTGGGCAACAAGAGCAAAACTCTCAAAAAAAACAAAAAACAAACAAACAAAAAAAAACATGAATAGAATTCTAAGCCATATAGAATGTTACACAATCATTAAGGATTAGATTTAAGTTAAGGGGTCATCTGAGCTAATCCCTCATCTAATGCTTAAATATTTTTTATAAGACTTCCCACACCATCAAGCTATGACATTTCCAGCCTGTGGCATTTAAGGACATCAGTAACAGCCATAATAGCTCTGCCTGATTTTCTGCCAAAAGCTGCATCCTAGGAGTTTCCAGATATTTATTCTATTCTGTCCTTTGAGATTGTGAAGCACAAGTTTCAATCCTCTGTCTGTGACAGAACCTTCTGATATTTTAAAGATAGCCATCACCCACGCCTCATCAATCACACTCCTTCCCTACCCCTATATAGAGGTCTAAGCTATATTTTTCTAAGCCAAACACTCTCTTCCTTTAAACGCCTTGAGATTGGTATAACTCCAGACCTCCTCCTCTCCGTTCTGGTTTTTTCCTACAATTTTCAAGTGCTTGATTGAAGTGAGACATAGTAAAATATTCTGGGTATATTCTAGCCGTTCTTACCTGGATGCTGGCTAAGAGTAATAATGGCCTCACAACAATGTTCATGCCCTAATCCTAATCTATGAATATGTTATTTTACATGGCAATATCCTGGATTACACAAGTGGTCCCAATCTTATTACAGGAAACCTTACATGAAAACCCGGGAACCTGTCCTAGCGGAGTGGCCAGAGAGAGAAAGGTGACCACAGCAAAAGGGTCAGACAGTTGCTGGTTTCAAGACAGAGGAAGGGGACCACAAGCCAAGGAATATAGAGTGCATCTAGAAGTAGGAAGAGGAAAGAAAACAGATTCTCCCCTTGAGCCTTCAGGAAGGAATGGAGCCCTGTCCACAAATTTGAGCTCAGTGAGATCCCTGTGGAATTTCTGGCCTCTGGAACTGTGGGATAGCAAATCTGTATTGTTTTAAGCCATTACTTTGGGGACAATTTGTTATAGTAGCAATATAAACTTAATACACATGCTATTCTATAATTAATGCAATATTAGAGCAAACTAAGTTTTCTGCAGGGGAGGGGAATACATCTTCAGAAGTGCTTATTGTGGACTTTTGAGGGTCCAGGCATTTTATCAGATATTGAGGTTACAATATATAGGCCCTGACTTTGAGGAGTTCATAAGCTAGTGGGGGTAAAAAAAAGATTTGTTAGAACAAAATATATGGAGGTTTAATAATGAGCTCTGGTCATCCTGTACACATTTTACTGCTCCCCCACACGCCCCCTCCCTGGATTAGTGTGGTTGTGGTTGCAGTGGTTGTACAGTTGTGGTTGTAGGTGACAGTGTTGTTGTTTGGAAAGAAGGAGCAATCTGTTGGATAGGAAGATTTTATTTATCTTATTTATATTTCAATGGTTTATGGTTCAAATTCCATGCAATAATACTAAATCTTTAACACATGCATATATAAAAGTAGATTTTTTTTAATTAGGGGAAAAGAATATAAGACTTTGTTGTTACTATTTATCACAATTTTGGTCTTTGTCAGAGAAAAGGATCATCTTTCTGGACTAGGTTCATCAATGAATAACATTTTCTCACCATTTTTGGTTTATGAAAAATATATAAACATCACCATAAAAATGTAGCTAGAGTGTTTATAGGACAGGGAAGAGCCCGGATAAATGCCATGAAAGACCACTCCCTAGGGGGGCATTGCCTCAGGAACTAGGTATGTGTATTCAATACATTAAATCAGCCATTAATTTTATTAACTTCAGAATTTCCAACCTTTCATATGTGTTCATCTATTGAGAAAAATAGAATACTTTTGCTATCATAAAACTGAGCCATTTTAGCTTGATAATTTTCAATGCTTAGCATAGGACTTGGCACACAACAGGCACTGAAATAAAATAGAAATCAATTTGTGTTAGGAGTCTTGGCTGAGATGCAAATACATGACCTCCTGAGCAATCCAACTGGCAATCTACCCCCAAAAGAAACAGTGCTGATCTGGCCCAGCTTGGTACTTGTTAAGCTCTGGAGAGCTGGATTTTAGCAGGGTGCATGTTTCCTGTACAGATGTTTTCAAACCATCTTTTAACAAATCCTTATTAGACTTTTGCTAATGAAGACATGAAATGGAGCTTACCATGGAGGAGGTAAAAGGTGTCTTTTTTCTTCAGAAAATTGGACATTTGCCTGTCACTTGAAACTCTTCTAGTTTTCCATGATTCCTAAGGAATTTTAACAGCCATTCAGTGTTGCTTCCCCAAGTAATCTTAGAAGCCTAAGAAAATGTCCATGCACTAGGAAGGCTGTTAAGCAGCTGTGGTGTTCTTCACAAATTTACAAACTGAGACATAGGTTCTCTCTTCCCTTTCTCTCTCTTTTTTAATGAAAGGCCAGGAAAAGGGGCCTTTCAATAGAAAGGGCTGGTTAAGCCTCAACCTCAACTCCTAATAATCCTATAATAAAACGGCTCCATTGCTAGTCTATGTATCTATTCCTTATGGGAATATTGACTCTATCTTTACATTGATAAGGTTATCACACTGAGTGATATGGTTTGGATTTGTGTCCCCACCCAAATCTCATGTCAGATTGGAAGAGGGACCTGGTGGGAGGTGATTGGATTATGGGGATGGATTTCCCCCTTGCTGCTCTCATGATAGTGAGTGAGTTCTCATGAGATCTGATAGTTTTAAAGTGTGTAGCACTTCCCACTTCACTCTCTTTTTCCTGCCACATTGTGAAGAAGATGCTTGCTTCCTCTTTGCCTTCCGCCAAGATTCTAAGTTTCCTGAGGCTTCCCAGTCATGTTTCCTGTTAAGCCTGCAGTACTGTGAGTCAACTAAACCTTTTTTCTTCATAAATTACCCAGTCTCTGGTAGTTCAGTTCTTTATAGCAGCGTGAGAACAGAATAAAACACTGAGTCATCAGGGCCACAAGAATAAGCATCATGTCTCAGGATCAATACTGTAGAAGAAGTTGATTGTCAAAAATGTAAACTGAGGTGCCTAATAGTAGCTAATATGCATAAGACTCTACCAAGTGGCAGGCACCATGACGAGTACTCCAATACCTTGAATACAGATAAGTCTTTAGTAGGCAGAATATGAAACAACCAGTGTCTCTGTGGGCATCCACTCTCCTGGGCAGGAATTTCATCTTCTGAAGGTCTTCATGGTTGGAGGAGTTAAAGATCTTCTCTGTGACACGAAGGACAGAGGTAAGCAAAGAGGGATCTTCATGGGGTCCCACTACTAAAGGCAACTCACAATAATTTATGGGTAACGACAATGTTAATTTCCTAAATGTTAAATGTTTGTTTAAGACTTTCAGCCTGTCCTCCCTGTGCTCCCAAGTCTAAATGAGGAGGCAAAGGGGCTGAGTAGGGACTGTGGAGTGATTGTCCAAGAGTAGATGAGCCTGGGGGAAAGAATAGGTAGCAGGTCTGCTCCCCATGTAGATACTCTACTCTCCCTCCTTGCCAATCTTAAGAATAGGATTTTGGCCAGGCCCGGTGGCTCACACCTGTAATCCCAGCACTTTGGGAGGCCGAGGCAGGTGGATCACGAGGTCAGGAGTTCAGGACCAGCCTGGCCAAGATGGTGAAACTCAGTCTCTACTAAAAATACAAAAATTAGCAGGCGTGGTAGCAGGTGCCTGTAATCCCACCTACTTGGGAGGCTGAGGCAGAGAATTGCTTCAACCCCGGAGGTGGAGGTTGCAGTGAGCTAAGATCATGCCACTGCACTCCAGCCTGGGCTACACAGTGAGACTCCCTCTCAAAAAAAAAGGAAAAAAGAATGGGATTGTGCTTAATTAAGAAGAGTTGGAGTTTCCTTTCATTAATGAGTGATCTTGAGCCAATGGCTCAACTCTCTGAGTTTCCGTTTGTTTGTTTTTTCTTGAGACGGAGTCTCGCTCTGTTGCCCAGACTAGAGTGCAGTGGCAGGAACTCAGCTCACTGCAACCTCTGCCTCCCGGGTTCAAGTGATTCTCCCACCCCACCCTCCCAAGTAGCTGACACTACAGGCACGCACCACCACACTTGGCTAATTTTTTGTGTTTTTAGTAGAGATGGGGCTTCACCATGTTGGCCAGACCAGTCTCCAACTCCTGATCTCAATTAATCCACCCACCTCAGCCTCCCAAAGTGCTGGGATTACAGGCGTGAGCCACTGCACCCGGCAGATTTCTGTTTTTTAATATGGAAAATGGGAATACTGCTTCAGAGGATTATTAGGGGTACTTGGTAAGATGACGTGTGTCAAATGAGCGGTGTTTCTATGTATTAGCTTTATATTCCACTTTAGGTGGAGATCACATTTCTGACAAAGAAATTAAAAAACAAATAATAAAACAAAATTAAAAAGCAAAAAACACAATAAAATAAAACTGCCTTTGCTAGCACTGCAAATCTGATTTAAATCTATTTCACCAAACCAGACTAATTTCTCACCAGGTGTTCCCATTGCTCCCACACCAATACACACACATCATCCTTCCTCCTGGAGCACCAGTAGCTCCTCAAATCTTTGCTTGTTCCCCATCTGATTAGAATGCTTTTTTCTTCCATCTACCTGATGACCTCTTCATTAGTTCCTTCAATAAATATTTACCAAGTGCCTACTATGAACTACATGTTCTTTAAGTGTTAACGGCAACACTCTGCAAGGAGATTCACATAACTCATACAAGTTTTCATATGTGTTTAATTACACTCTCCCTTTCCTAGACGGTTTTTAGAATCCACATGTTGTGGAACAAATTGAGTCAATAAATGTTTTCTTCAACAATCAAATCAGTTTAATAATGAATGAGCAAATGAAGAAAAGCCCATATACAATTTGCCCCCTTATTCTTAACGACGTTACTGGGGACATTGGCCCCTACAAATAGCATCCCCTTACAAAGGCCAGAGGGAAGTGTCTGAGTGCTAAATACAAGCTGAATTTCTACAGAGCACTACTGTTATTTTTCATCTTAAAGACACTATAAATCTTGATTCATTTGACAAATATTCATAATATCAAGCATATATCACTTGCCTGCTCCAAGACATACCATGCTGTGCCTGGGTGGATACAGTGACTAGAATGTGCTCTCTGGCCTCAGTGAGGTAATACTCTCATGTAACTGAGAGTGCTTCTCTCTTCACTTTGGAACCTGGTAAGATCGGAGGCTAAATACAAACGGTGACGTGCTAGCTTTCACCCTGCCTTCCCTAATTTCCTTCCTGTGCTCCTCACATTTTTGCATGTGTTTATATGCACTGCTTGGAATACTTTTGCGAACAAGGAAAGGACTCAACAATAAAACAAATTAACAAAGTCAATTTGTAAAATCAGATATCTGAAGGAATAACGTGCCTGGCTAAGAACACTGGTATGGTTCTTTCATTTGAAAAGCTCTGTGACCTCACTGGTTATCCTTTTTTTCCCTCTTATCCTGTTTATTTCAGTCATAACTTCATTTGGAGATTCTTCCAGCTTCCTGGAAATAATATTTCTTTTAGGGTCTCTATTCACTTAGAGAAATTGCAGTGAAAATGTTCTAAGTTTGTTTCTTAAATTACAAAATTAAAAAGCAATCTGTTAAAATCTAGAGTCCACTAAGATCAATAACATTCCATTACGGTAAATTCTACCCTGGTTTTCACAAGTTAAATAAAACTGGATAAGCAATAGCTGGATGACTATAAGCAACAGAAGGCTTTGCCTGCTTTGATTCAGTATCTTTTTACTTAACTTTTTATTAAATTGTTTATATTATCAGTAGGTACACTGAAACTCAGCAGAAATCTCAAGTCACGTTATTAAGTGATCATAAGCAAAACATTCTTTTTCTATAGTCAAAATTTCTAATCCTAATGTTGCAATATTCTTAATTAGCTCAAAATATCTGATGAAATGATTTAAACATTCCCAAAACAAAATTAATTCTAGTCTACTTTTGTTTAAAAACACAAGCATGCCATTGCTCAACACCTAACGATGCAGAACAAATTTTTAAACAAATGCAGAAATCAAACTCCCATAGCTTCTACACACTGCAAATCCATGTTCTAGAAAACTGGAATGGTTTACCAAAGAAAGTTCTGACATCTTTTTTGGAGATTTTAGTGTAGATTCTTTTTTTCATAGGATAGTATGTTGTAGGTGTACAATACTTCATCTGCCACCCTAATATCCAAAAGTCTCTGAAAACCCAAAGCTTTTGGCAAAGCAGATCTGACCAACATGAGGCCATACAGTGTGGATTCTCATATATTTTATGGCATAAATACGAATGTGTTTGATTTATTTCAAGGTTCCCCAGGTTCCACGAGTGGGTGTTAGGTAATGCACAGTATATGTATTGTGTTACTTTTCTAAAATCTCCAAAATTCTGAGTTCTAAACACATCTGGCCCAAAGGATTACACATAAGGGACTGTGGCCCATCATCCTAGACACAAGACGGTAAACTGAGAGATGACCCGAAGAACAATTGCTTCCCTATGATAATTATTGAAACAGATTTTTACTGCCTATGAGCCGCATGTCTCTGTGATTCTACTGACCCTTTAATATTAGTTTTGTATTACAGTTTGTGATTCTTGTGTGGCGTCCTCTCTACTACCTCCTTTACCCATCAATATAAAACACGGTCATATTGTAAGCATTTTCAGGGATTATTCACAGGTTTTCTAGTCTTACATATAGTACAAGAACAACAAATAAACTATATAGGACAATAAGTGGTTCGGTTTTTGTTTAGTGTTGCATCTCTTACACCTAGCACAATGCTGTAAGGTAGGTGCTCAGTAAAAATTCAGCTATTCATCTTACTGAGCTTAATTAAATTGGTTTGAATACTGCCACCTGCTGGCCATAGGCAAAATTTGCATTCCAACGAACATTACAGTCAGTTGTTGGGAATTTTTATCTATCAAAAATGAAGAACTGGCTGAGCATGGTGGTTTATGTCTGTAATCCAAGCACTTTGGGAGGCTGTGGAAGGAGGATCTTTTGAGCCCAGGAGTTCTAGACCAGCCTGGGCAACATAGCAAGACCCCATCTCAATTTTTTTTTAAAAAATAAAAATACATATAGTAGAACAACGACTTATTAGTTTCACATTATTTGATGCCGAATAGCCTTAACTAAGATGAGTTCATCTAAGCATCTAGACCCCAATGAATAGTTTACACTGAACATGACTACAGCAAGATCCATAAGCTCATTCACCTCATTAATTTAGGCAGTTTATGCTTATTTAAATTGAGAGTCACCTATACAAGTAATTCACACCAAGGGGGCTTTATAACAAAAATACCCTTCCCTCTGCAAAAGGGTTTGCTATGTAGCTCCAGCCTCTATTTCACAAAGGATTCTATTAATACATTTAAGTATAGTAACTCTTGAAGGCAGTGGGGGGGGGAAGCTTAAAACTCATTTGTTAAAATCCTGCCTTCAAATGCAATAAGCACACAGTAAAACATTTCATAAGCAAAACTGGGGACCAAAGAGTGAAATCATTTAATACAGAATTTGGGGAATTTTAGAAATCAAAATGATGTAACTTACAGAGATAGATCTATTTTATAAACAAATATACATTTTAAACTATTGTAATTTCAATTTAATTTCCTCATTCGTTTAGAGTTAAAATAATTCTTTCTAAGCTTGCATATTACATTTCATAAGCCAGAAGCTGTGTGAATGAAAAGGTTCTCCTCTTCTGTCCTTCAGTTATAAAAGTGCTCTGCACATTTCTTTTGTGCAATGACTTGAGTCTTAATTTAGAGAAAGAAAAATTCTGATTTATCTTTGTCTCTGGGGTATGTTACTAGTTCCTTCTTTATCAGGAAACATGTAATGGACTTGCAAACTCCTTTCCAACTGACTTTCCAGACGAGGTGCTTGTAAGAGGCTCTAATGACCCAGCAAGTTCAGGTCATATGGCCCAAAGGAAAGACAACCTAATCAGTGAGAAAGAGAGTGAAATGCAAGGAGACACGTTGCTGTAACCAGAGTGCCACCATGTCTCCAAGAGGAAACAGCCCTTGCTGTTGCATCACTGTAAAATAGTCAGAAGTGGTCCAGGCAGAGGCCACTGTCCCAGGCCTGCTGAAGGTGCTGCCACAGATTCTACATAGACGGCTCCACAGCTCTCTCCTCACGTTCTGCTCAGCCAGGTCCTTTAAATTCTGCTTAATTATTATACATATGTGGTATGGGGTAAGCACTTAAAAATTAGAGCATATCATGATACCCAAATGACACAACAACTAAATAACAAAAATGTCAAAGGTAACAAAGTAACAATGCCCAACACTTAGGTAGCTCTCACACTGTCTCCAGCTCTGTTCTAAGTGCTTGAGGTTTGTCAGCTCTTTTGCTCTCCACAATCATCCACTGCAATAAGCATCAGGATTGCTCTCATTTTATTGATGAGGAAATTGAGACAACTCTGAATCTCTTTATGGCAGGGCTTTTTGCCCTAAGCACTGTCTATGGACTAAATCCTGTCCCTCTAAAATTCGTATGTTGCCCTAATCCCCGTGGGGCTGTATTTGGAGACAGAACCTATAAGTGGGCAATTATGGTTAAATGAGATCAAAAGGGTGGGCTCTGATCTGGCAAGACTAGTATCCTCATAAGAAGAGGCTGGGCACAGTGGCTCACAACTGTCATCCCAGCACTTTGGGAAGCCAGGGTACGAGGATCTCCTGAGGCCAGGAGTTCAAGACCAGCTTGGGCAAGATAATGAAACCCCCATCTCTACAAAAAATTTAAAAACTAGCCAGGCATGGTGGCATGCACCTCTAGCCCTAGATAGTTGGGATGCTAAGGCAGGAGGATCGCTTGAGCCCTCAGGGGTTCAAGGTGACAGTGAGTTCCAGCCTGGGCAACAGAGTGAGACCCTGTCTCTAAAAAGAAAGAAAGAAAAAGGACATAACGATACAGGAGTTAAGAAGAAGTTATGTAGCAGATAGTGAGGGTAGGAAAGTCCTTGGTAAGGTTTTCCTTTTAATGAAAAGCAGCCCCAAAATCATTTTCTTTGCTAACAAAGAGTAGCCTGTAAAATCAAGCTGCAGACATAGAAGGGCAGGCTGGAAGCTTGCATGGAAGAAAGCCAGCAGCTGTGCCAATAGGAAAGGGCCACCTAGGACTATGCATGTTCAAAATGGCGGCTCCATCTTTCCTTCTCCTTTCCAACCACATTTGCAGTAGGCAGCAGATGACACAGCCCAGGCCAAGTGAAAGCTTATTTGCATAATAAGAAAAGGGTGGGGTGGCCAGCTTCCCCGTGCACTATGTAAACGTCATACCTGGTCCACTCAATCTGTGTGCCCTATGCCAATCAGACACCGCCTCCTCAAGCCTGTCTATAAAATCCGGTGAACTCCGTAGTGGGCCGGAAGACCCACTCGGGCAACCCTCTCTCTCACGAGAGAGAGCTATTCTCCTTTCTCTTTCTTGCGCCTATTAAACCTCTGCTCCTAAACTCACTCCTTGTATGTCCATGTCCTTAACTTTCTTGGCATGAGGCAATGAACCTTGGGTACTACCTCAGACAACAACGTGGCTTCAAAACCAGAGAAATCTCTGAGCATGCACAGTGAAGCAGCTAAATGAGGCCACAGCAAGAAGGCGGCTATATGCAACCCAGCAGGGCAGGCCTTACCAGAAACCAACCCTGCTTGCACCCTGATCTGGACTTCCAGCTTTCAGAACTATGAGAAAATGTCTGTTTTTAAGCCACCTAGTCTGTAGTATTTTGTTGTGGCAGTCCTAGCGGACTCATACATCACTGTGAACACAGTGGGTGGGTAAAAAGGACAATCACACCTCACCCAGGTAGGCACAATAAAAAATACATGCAGAGGTTGCCAAACCACTGTTTCCAAACAGGTTGGAAACCACTGTTCTATGCAATCATCACAAAACTGATTTCTGCAGAGTCTGAGAGAGAATGAGCTGAAGTGACACTCATCCCAGTAGCAGACTCCAAATGTGTTCAAGTTCTTATTCATTCACCCATTGAATACCCGGAAAGACCTTCATAAGGTTTTGACTGTCTGACATTTGGAAGAATGCCCTATTATGGCCAATCAGGGAGATGGACAAAAGGAGGAAATAAAAGATGATTCTGGGAAGGTGTACGTTTGCTTTAAGGAAGACTCAGATGGCAGAATTTCCTTAGGACAGAAGCAACATCGGCAAAAAACAGGTATAGGAATAATGGTCCTACTTACAACCATGGGAGGCACATACAAGCTGGTCTATTTCAGTTTTCAAATCTCATACATTATACAATGATAAAGTTCTGGGAAGGTCTAGCAAAACTTCTGTTATGCCACTTTTTTTTAAACACTGAATTTTTAAAATTTGATAGCAGAAATGCTTAATCTGCTTTCACTAGCAGACCAATAAGCAGAAAGCAACTGCATCAGAGTTCAAACCAGAAAATGGAACATTGGGGAAGCGAAAGTGAATCTGTGCAAGTAGCATACTACTTAAGCAAAAAAATGCTTTTTTTTCATTATTGAGGTATTAGGCAGCCATCTTTTCCTGCTTCATTTAAAAAAAAACATTTATTTATTATAAATTAATTAATATGATCGCCAGATAGAAAACTGAAAAATATGCAAAGAAAGAAAACAAAGGGCAATCTTACCACCTAGACGTAATCACCAGAAACATTTTGAAGTATGTTTTTCATTCCTTGTATTATTCATATAAACATACATCTAATTTTTTTTGTACAGGATGGAAGCAAATATTTGTATTTTTTACATAAAAATTATAATTAATTTTGAAATTTTACAGAGGCAGTTTGTGTTTGAAACTTTATATTGTCATACAAAGGGAAAATGATCTTTTCTTGAACAGGATGAAATTAATTCCATGTGAAATATGTACAGGTATATATATTATAAATGCTCTTTTGTACATAATTATGTACTTTTATGATTCCAAATTGTTTCACACCAGATGATTGGTTCAAAGTTTTCTCTAAGGCACCTTTATTAAGATATAACTAATATACCATAAAATTATCCTGATCAAAGTATAGAAGTCAATGATTTTTAGTATATTTACAGAGTTTCGTGGCCATCACCATAATCTAATTTCAGAACGTTTTCATCTTTCCCAGTAAGAAATTGCCTATTTGCAGTCACTCCTCATTCCCAATTCACCCTCAGGTCCGGGCAACCACTAATCTAGCTTCTGTTTCTAGGTATTTGCCTATTCCATGTATTTCATCTAAATGGAATATATAGAGGACACTCAATATGTGGTCTTTTATGATGAGCTTCTTTCAGTTAGCATAATATTTTCCCCAGTTCATTCATGTTGTAGAATGTGTCACTACTTCATTCCTTATTACTATCTGATATTTTACTGTTTTATATGCTACTAATATTATTAGAAATAATATTATATTTTTAAAGCTAAAGTGTTCTTCTACTTTTTAGAAAATAGGTTCAGGATTTTACATTGTAAACCAAAGTGAGATAAGTAAGAATATAAAGTTTTAATTCTTGGAAATATGTCCAATTTTAGGGTACTAAATTTATCTCTTTAAAATGCATTTAAAATGCATAAATCCATTTATTGTGATAAATTCCTCCAGTAATCTTGGATCTGTGTCATACATTATTTATTTTAGAGTTATCCTTGAACTTGCAGACGTCTTGAAATTACATTCTTCTTTTCCAAAGCTCTAAGAGTGGTGGAGAATCAAAGCTTCGATAACTGGAGAAATAATTTAAGATCAATCTTAATGAAAGAGTAAAAAGAGGGCTGGGTTAGAATTTATGTAAATTTTTCTCAGATAATGTCATTTTTATGTTATCAGCTTAATTTGAGAACTCAGAATAAAAAAGAAAAGACAGAGAAAAAGACGAGAAGAAAATACCCTTTTAACTTAGGAGGTCACAACACTTGTAATGCTTCTTTCTTGACATTGCTAATATCTTACATCAGGAAAACTGAGGTGAAATGCAATTAAGGACTCTGTTTTGTTTATTTTAGTCATAGTTAAATCCAGCCTAGACTAAAAAATAGAATTCAAGCAATTAACAAAAGATAACTTTAGTAAAGTGCCCAGCATAGGACCCACCACATTGCAGATAATCTATTAAAAAGTTATTTTGTGCCTTTTCTCATTCTAACCCGAGTATGTCTAAATTATCTTTAGACCAAAACATACGCTTTATCAAATTGACTTAGAATTATACATAGGACAGAGCAACAGGTTAGGAGCAGTAGGACCAATGACAGCAGCAGTGAGAGGGCCACTCACAGGACTAGATAGACCCAGAGCCAAGAGAACCAGCTGATCAAGGGCATTTCATTGCGGGGCAGATGAACTGTCTGTGGCAGACTATCAGTGTCCATGGATTTCCCATTTTCCTTGGCATTAGATTGGAGCTGCACTTCTGGATTTTGGTTGTTTGTGCCTACACGGAAAGTTACTCCCAATCCAAGGATTTCAAGAATGAATGGGGCTTATCCATCTCTCACTTTGCCTCTGAAGGCAACCTTGAAGATACGAGAGCTACGAAATGGAAGGGGCATGGGCCTCTAAGTCACCATAGGGAAAAAAGCTACCTGGGGGAGTTGCCTGACCTTCGTAGTGTTACATGAGCAAGAAGGAAAAAAAAACACACACACACACTTTCTGTCTTATATCACTGAGGTTTTAAGGGTTGATTTATAAAGGCAGCAGAGGAGGTAGCCTGTTCTGACAAATGCATTTTCCATCTCAACAGCTCTTGAAGATTCATATTATTCGAACAAAGAATAGTTACTGAAATGCCTAATAATAGCAGTGTCAGATATTTAAGATGTTTAAAACCACCAGAACTCTGTCACAGACAAATCTGTCTATACAAGACCCTCTGGACTCACTTAGCAGCCTATCTAGCTCTCTCTCATTTTTTTCCTTTAAAGATCCTGTTGTTGTTTTTTTTATTTTCCCATAGGCTCTACATTTCATGGTTACATGGCATCTCAACTAAACATGGGAAGACCACTTTTCTACCTACTATATACCTACCTGACTAACTACTGTGCAGAGGCTCCTGTTGTCATGACCTCTGCCACCATATTCAACAATTTGGATGTCAGTATCATCCTGGACTAGACATGAGTTTAATATGCATGTTCCTTGCTCATTAATATTGAGATAGTGATCATGCCTATATTTAAAACAGTACTCAAAGGCATAGAATTAGTTGGGTCTGTATTATCTTCTACACCTGTCATAACTGAGACTATACAGATGATGACACTTTCCCTGGCAAAGACAATGTCCAGGGAGACTGGATAAACACACACCCTTACACTGAAGAACCAGCAGAAAGGAAGGACCAGCAGAAAGGAAGGACTCATCTCCAACTGAAAATATGTATACATCTCACTATGTACCGTCCTATGCATCATGTTAAGCTTTCAACAAAATACTACAGAATATACCAAAAAAAGGAAAAAATAAAAACAGTCCGAGTTTCACTCCCAGGGTGACCGTGTGAGGAACTCCATGACCCACTCCCCAGTAGAACAAGTATAACTGATGAAAACCATTTAAGATATCCAATCATTTAAAGTCTAAGTAATTTGTCCTAAAGGCATAAAGCAAATTGTAAAACATTCGTTAAAGAAAATATTTTAAAATTCAGTAAGAACAGCAAGAGTCTGTGTTCTTCCCTCCATCAAAAAATATACAAAAATTAACACCAGGCATGGTGGCTCACACCTGTAATCTCAGCACTTTGGGAGGCCGAGACGGGCGAATCATAAGTTCAGGAGTTCGAGACCAGCCTGGCCAACATGGTGAAATCCCATCTCTACTAAAAATACAAAAATTAGCCGGGTGTGGTGGTGGCTGCCTGTAATCCCAGCTACTCGAGAGGCTGAGGCAAGAGAATTGCTTGAACCCGGGAGGGGTTCAGTGAGCCACGATCGCGCCATTGCACTCCAGCCTGGGTGAGAGAGCGAGACTCCATCTTGGAGAAAAAAAAAATAAGTAACTCAGAGGGGATCAGAGACCTAAATTTAAGTGCTAAAAGTATAAAACTCTTAGGAAAAATTACAAACAAATCTTCATTGTCATGGGTTAGGCAATGTTTCCTTAGATATCACAGCAAAAGCATAAGTAACAAAATATAGATAAACTGGACATTATCAAAATTAAAAACATTTGTGCATCAAAGGACATTGATATCAATAAAAGATAACTCACAAAACTGAAGAAAACATTTTGAAATTACATATCTGATAAGGGAATTGTATTTAGACCATATAAAGAACTCTTACAACTCAATAATTTAAAAAAAATCGCAATTAAAAAACAGGAAAATTATCTACACTGGTATTTCTCCCAACAAGATATACAAATGGCCGATAAACACATGAGAAATGCTTAATATCATTAGCCATCAGAGAAATGTAAATCAAAACCATAGTGAGATACTACCTCGCATCCACTAGAATGTGCTATAATCCAATTACAGAAAATGAAAAGTATTGGTGAAATGTGGAGAAATTAGAACTCTCATACACTGCTGGTGAGAGTGTAAATTGGTGTAGTCACTATGGAAAACAGTTTGAGTTTCTCCAAAGTTTAAACATAGAGGTACCATCAACCCACTAATTCTATGGCAAGAGAAATAAAAACATATGTTACCATCAAAACTTATACACAAATGTTCATAGCAGCATTATTCATAATATCCCAAAATTAGAACCAATCCCAATGCCCATCAACTGATGAATATATAAATAAAATGTGGTATATCCATAAGTGGAACGTTATTGGGAATCCATGCTACAACCTGGATGAACCCTGAAATCATGCTGAAGGACCCAGTCACAAAGTAATATCTATTGTATAATTCCATTTATATGAAATATACAGAACAGATAAATATATAGAGACAGAAAGTTTATTAGCTGTTGTCTAGGGCTGAGAGGGACTGGAGGTTTGGAGGGTAATGCCTAAAATATATAGGTATTTTGGGGGGCAGGGATTAAAACATTCTAAAATTGTGGTGATAGTTGCACAACTTCATAAATATATCAAAAGCCATTAAATTGTATGTGTTAAGTAGGTGAATCACATGGTATGTGAATTATATCTTAATAATGTTGGAAAGAGAGGGAGAGAAGGGTCTGAGAGACAAAGGAATTATTACAAGCAAACCCAGATATGACTCCTATGTTGAAGCTATCACACAATCACCTTAAAATAACTATAACTAATATGTTAAAGATTATAATGGAAAAGTTAAACAACATGCAAGACCAGATAGGTATCTTCAACAGAGAGATAAAAACTCTAAGAAAGATTCAAATGTAAATTCCAGATATTAAAACAAAGTAACAGAGATGAAGATTGTCTTTCACAGTTTTATCATCAGACTAAACACAGCCAAGGAAAGAATTGGTGAACGTAAACACAGATCAATAGAAATTATCTAAACAAAAAAAAAACATAAAGAAAAAAGAGTGAGGGGACAAAGGAAAAAAAGAATACACTATCCAACATCTGTTGGGCAACAGCAAATGGTCTAACCAATGTGTTGCTAGAGTTCTAGAATTAGAAGATAAAGAAAATGGGAAAGAAGAAATATTTGAAGATACAATGGCTGAGAATACTCCCGAATTATAGATAGACATCAAATGACAGAGACAGGAAATGCAGAGAATACCAAGTAGGATTAATGCCCAAATAGAAAACAAACACATGTAAGCATCTCATATTCAAAATGCTGAAAGTCAAAGACAAAAATAAAACCTTAAAGACAGTCAAAGGCAAAAAAGACAAATTGCTTTCGGAATAAGGGCAACAATTACAGCAGATTTCTCATCAGAAAACATATAAGGATGAAGACAATAAGCGAAATATTTTAAGGGCTAAAGGAAAAAATAAAACACTTGTCAATCTAGAATTCTGTACACTTCAAAACTGAAGGAGAAATCAAGCCTAGTTATATAACATAAACAAAGGGAGATTATTGTCAGAAGATCTGCTCTATAAGAAACGCTAAAAGAATTTCTTCAGAAAGAAAGAATATGATATAGGTCAGAGATCTGATTCTAAGCAAAGTAATTAAAATTGTTCTTCCTCTTAGTTCTTAAGATGGCAGCATAAATTACCGATTTTAAAATTTCTTTCTAATATATACATTTAATACTATAAATTTCCCTCTACGCAGCATTTTTGTTGCATCTCACAAATTTTGATAAGTTACATTTTCATTTGTAGTTTGTTTCAAATATTTTCAAATTGTTCTTGAGTCTTCTTTAAGCTAGGTGCGATTTATAAGCGTATTGTTTAATATCCAGATATTTGAGTGTTTTCAAGCTATTTTCTGTTACTGATTGCTAGTTTCACTGTGATCTGAAAGTATAGTTTTTATTGTTTCTATTCTTTTAAACTTGTTAAAACGTATTTTATGGCCCAGAATGTGGTCTTTGACCTTTGTGAAGGTCAATTTGAGCTTGAGACAAAGGGGTATTCTGCTGATGTTAAAGTATTTCACAAATGTCAATTAAACCCAGATGTAAGATGGTATCTTATCTATAAATTACTGATAGAGAGGTGTTAAAGTCTGCAACTGTAATCGTGGATTTGTCTACATCTCTTTGAAATCTTATTAGTTTTTGCCTCAAGTACTTTGTTAGGTTCATACACAATAAGGTTGTTAGGTCTTCTTGGAGAATTGACCCTTTCATCGTTATGCAGTACTCTTTTCTACCCATTATTCTTTTTTTGTTTTGAAATACGTCTTGTCTGAACTTAATATGGCTACTCCAGTTTTCTTCTGATTAGTGTCAATATGATATAATTTTCCCTAGCCTTTTATTTTTAATATGTTTTATATTTAAAGTGGCTTTTGTGTATACAGCATATAGTTGCATCCTGTTTCTTAATCCACTCTGACAGTCTCTCTTTTAATTGGCATATTTAGACCAATCACATTTAAAGTGATTATTCATATAGTGGAATGAATACCTACCATATCTGTTACTGTCTTCTACTTGTTGCACTGTTCCTTGTTTCTTTAATCTTCCGCTCTTATCCAGCCTTCTCTGTTTTGTTTCTGTTCATTTGTTTGGTTTTGAGACAGGGTCTCACTGCATTGCCCAGGCTGAGGTGCAGTCAGCAATTATAGCTCCCTGTGCCTCCCATTCCTGAGCTCGAATGATCCTCCCACCTCTGCCTCCCGAGTAGCTGGGACTACAGGCATGTGCCACTATGCCTGGCCCTTCTCTGGTTTTAATGGGAGCATTTTATAATCTTACTTTCTCTCTTTTCTTTCCATATAAATTATATTTATTTTTCAAAACATTTTGTGGTTGCCCTAGAGTTTGCGATATACATTTACAACTAATTTAAGACTAGTTTCAAATAACATACTGACTTGCAGGTATTGTTGATACCTTATGACTTTGTATTTCGAAATGCTCCCTCATTCCCTGATAATATTGCTGTGATTCATTACATTTATTTTCATACTATAATCACTTGGTACACTGTTACATTATTACTTTGAACAAACCATTATCTTTTAGATCAATTAATAATAAGAAAAATAAAAGATCTTATTTTCATGGATTCCTTTTCTGACACTGTTCACTAATTTATGTAGTTTCAAGTTTCTGATCTATCTTCCTTCTCTCTGAAAAACTTCTTTTAACATTTTTTGAAAGGCATGGCTAATGGAAATGAATTTCATCAGCTTTTTTTTAACCTGAGAAAATTTTTATTTTTCCTTCACTCTTTCTTGCAGGATAATTTTTCTGGATATAAAATTATTCTAGGTTGGTGGAGTTTTTCTACTAACACTTTAAATATCTCACTACTTGCTTGTATGTTTGCTGATGAAAAAACAGTTGTATTTTCTATCCTGACTCCTCTATAAGTAAGATGTTTGTATTCTCTGGCTTATTTCAAGATTTTCTCTGTTTTCAGTTTTCTGTGTTTTGGATATGCTATACCTCAGAGGAGATTTTTTGGTATTTATCCTGTTTGGTGTTCTCTAAGCTACCTATACATGTGGTTTGGTGTCTGTCATTAAATTTGGAAAATTCTAGTCCATTATTTACTTCAAGTAATTGTTCTTTCTTAACCTTTTGATATTCCAAAAGAATACCAGAGGGTATCTTACACCTTTCCCTTTTGGTATAGGATACCAAATGGTATCTTATACCTCTTGAAATTATCTCGCAATTCATTAATATTCAATTCTTTTGAATTTTTATTATGTTCTTTTCTTTGCTTTTCAGTTTAGGAATTTTCTATTGACCTAACTTCAAGCTCAATGATTGTTTCCCTGGTTATATCCAATCTACTGATGAGTCCATCAAAAGCAATTTTCATTTCTGTTACAGTGTTCTTGATTTCTATAATTTTCTTTTGATTCTTTCAGTTTTCATCTCTCTGCTTACATTATCCCTCCATTCTTGCATGTTGCTTACTTTTCCATTAAAGCCCTTAACATAATAGGCATAGTTATTTTAAATTCCATGTCTAATAATTCCAAGACCTGTGTCATATCTGAGTCTAGTTCTAACGCTTGCTTTGTCTCTTCAGATTATGTTTTCTCTTGTCTTTTAGCACACATCGTAAACATTTTGTTGTTGAAAGCCAGACATAATGTCTTGAGTCATAGGATCTCAGGTAACCAGGCTTTTTGTATGAGGTTTCATGTTAATCTGGCTAGAAGCTAGGCTGTGTTAAATATTTTCATAGTTGGGGGTTCCAGAGGCTTCAGTTTCCTCTAGTTCCTTGTTGTGTGTTTTCTCCCCTCTTGCCTTTGGGTGTCCCTAGAAACTTCTTAATTAGTCTGCATCTTGCATCTCAATTGTAATTCACTGTTATTATACTGGAACCTTGTTAATATTTTTGTAAGGTGTTGGGTAGGGGAAAGGTTCTATAATCTTATGATTAAATTTCAGTGTTTTAGTGGGCTTAAGTGTCTGGGGTTTAACCTTTAAAAACATTTTTAGCTTTTTTTCTTCCTTCATATGAAACAAAGATAGAGGAGACTCGAGTTACCAAGTTTCCCTTTTCCAAGTAACGTAAGATTCTGGCTAGTAGTTTCCCTCACATGGTTCACCTTTGTTACAGAGAATGCTCTTGGTGTATTTCAATAAGGTTAATTTTCCCCTGGATGTATTGTTAAATGCTTACTTTTCTTTTCCTTCTGCTGGGAACCTGACGGAATTTTTCTCAGATCTTCAACATAAGAACCTGGTGGATCTTCTGTACGTAACATCCATTAAATTGTGGGGGTATCCCTAAAACTAACTCTCTAAGAGTTTCTAACTCTCATGCCTGCCACATTTAGGTCAAGTAATTCATCAAAATTACCCCTGAAGTCATCCTACTAGTTACTAGTCCCAGCAGCTTCTGCTCCCAGTAAGCTGATCTTGACTGTAATTCTATATGCTAGTCTGTCTCTCCAGATTTCCAGTGATCCCCAATTCTCTTAGGTATCTATGAAAAGTTGTTGGTTTTCAGTTTATCTATCTTTTTATGTGTGTTTGTTTTAATAATGGAAGTGGCAACTTCCCAAGCTCTTTATATGTTGGCACAGATACCAGAAGCCCTCTATAATTTTTATATGAAAGGAATCATAGAGCATGTGTTCCTTTTCATTTGGCTTCTTCACTCAGCATAATTATGTTGAGATTCATCCATGTTGTTATAGAAATTGAGAGTTCATTATTTTTATTGCTAATTATACTGAATTGTATGGCTATACCACAATTGCTTATCCATTCACCTGTCGATGAATATTTGGATTTTCCATTGTGGGGTTATTACAAATAAGGCTTGTATGGATATCTGTGTACAACACCTTGTTTACATATATGTTCTCCTATCTTTTGGGTAAATATCTCAGAGTGTAATAGTTGGGTCACAGGGTAGGTGTGCATTTAACTTTGAACTTTTTAAGACATTCCTAAGCTCTTTTTAAAAATAATTATGCTATTGCACATTTCCACCAGCATTATTGGCCCAGGTATTAGTCCATTCTCGCACTGCTTATAAAGACATACCCAAGACTGGGTAATTTTTAAAGAAAAGAGGTTTAATTGACTCACAGTTCAGCAAGTCTGAGGAGGCCTCAGGAAACTTACAATCATGGTGGAAGGGGAAGCAAACATGTCCTTCTTTACAGGGTGTAGCAGCAAGGAGAAGTACTGAGCAAGAGGGGGAAAAGCCCCTTATAAAACCATCAGTACTCTTGAGAACTCACTCACTATCACGAGAACAGCATGGAGGTAACCACCTCCATGATTCAATTATGTCCCACTTGGTCCCTCCCACAACACATGGGGATTAAGGGAACTGCAGTTCAAGATGAGATTTGCGTGGGAACACAAAGCCAAAACATATCAGTTCATATTCCCACCAATTCTTGCTACAGTATTTTACTCATTAACAAATCAAATGACACATAGTTACATGCAGTACACCATAAATGAGAATGGTCATCTTAATAATATCTAGTCTCCCAGTTCACAATCACGTTATATTTCATTTATTTTGAAATTTTTCCCATTTCTGAGCAATATTTTTCAGTGTACAGGTCTCTCTTGGGTCTTTGATTTTATCTCATCCCATTCACCCCAAGTAAGAACTAAGTTAGCCTATTACAATTTCATGAATGCCAGCAGAAGACATAGGACGACTGGATCAGAGACAAAGGATTTTATCACTCATGACACAGCGAGCAGCATAAACATCAGCATATTTGCATGAGTTTTCCATGCCTCTACATCTCATGGAGGTTGTATTAGTCCATTCTTGCATTGCTATAAGGAAATACCTGAGACTGGGTAATTTATAAAGAAAAGAGGTTTAATTGGCTCACAGTTCCACAGACTGTACAGGAAGCATGGAGGCATCTGCTTGGCTTCTGGACAGGCCTCAGAAAACTTACAATCATGGTGGAAGCAAAGGAGGAGCTAGGCATCTCACGTGGCAGGAGCAGGAGCAAGAGAGAATGAAGGGGAGGTGCTGCACACTTTTAAACAACCAGATCTCACAAGAACTCCCTTACTAACTCACTATCATGAGAACAGCACCAAGAGGATGGGGCTAAACCATTCGTGAGAAACCACTCCCATGATCCAATAACCTCCCACCAGGCCCCACCTCCAACACTGGGGACTACAATTCGACATGAGGTTTCTTGGGGACACAGATCCAAACCATGTCAGCAGTGGACCCATATGAACGCTATACATCAAAATTGAGGAACACTGAGCTTGGGGTATTCATCATTGGTAGGCTTTCTGTTTATTTCATTCCCAGGGATGCTATAATCAATTAGCCATAGTCAAAGATCCCTGCAGGTCAAGGCATTCTGGTGACTGGTACACTCCTGCTGACCTTAAAAGTAAATGTGTCCACCTTGTCTTCTGAGTTTAAGTGCTATGACCTGGCCTCTGATAATCTGGAAATCTTTTCCTCATATAATCAGAGAGCTTATCTTAAAGGTGGTATCCTCTATGGCTATACCTGGCCTACAAAAGAGAGCAATCGCAAATCTTTTCAAAACTGCAAGTGCATCTCTCACTAATACATTCCTCAGTGCCTTAGTGCAGGAAGTGTCGTCTTGGCCTCTTCGTGGAATATATTTGAGTATTAGGCTTGCAAGTCATACATAATAAATCCACTCTGACATTGTCATTTTTCCAAAACTTTTGGAGTCCTTTATCCACATTTTGCCAGGAAAACTCTGGCATCTGAACATCATTAAATATAGGCCATCTTTGAGTCTAAATTTCAACCAACTGACTAAACTACTAGAGCTGCCTCCAGCTGCACAAGCTAACATATTACATCGGTATATGTTGTAAATGCATCTATACTAGTGAATTCTGCCTAATTTAGTGTTATATTATTCCCTTTTTTTGTCTGACACCCTTAGAAATCTCTCCCCCAGGTTTCTAAAGTTTACATTGATTATATATTAGCAGAGACTTCCAAATCTTTTATTATTATTATTTTTACACAGAGTCTCCCTCTGTTGCCAGGCTGGAGTGCAGTGGGGCGATCTCAGCTCACTGCAACCTCTGCCTCCCGGGTTCAAGCTCTCCTGCCTCAGCCTCCCAAGTAGCTGGGACTACAGGCGCGCACCACCACGCCCAGCTAAATTTTTTGTATTTTTAGTAGAGACAGGGTTTCACCATGTTGGCCAGGATAGTCTCGATCTCTTGACCTTGTGATCTGCCCACCCTGGCTTCCCAAAGTCCTGGGATTACAGGTGTGAGCCACCGCGCCTGGCCGTGACTTCCAATTCTTTTGGCGTGTATGAGATGTCCTCCTAGGTTATAATGTGTACCTGTCACCAGAGCATGCTAAAATTTCACCCTAGCTATGTATTTAGTAGCCACAGTGAGTGGTTTTAATGGGTTAACATGAGCAGCCCTTTCAAGGCGCCTTTCCCAGATGAGTTACTCACAAAATTTCAAGCACAAAAAGACTAGTTTCCTCAGCTATAGGAGAGCAAACTAGTTCTCCTGCAAAGGAGTCTCAGAATAACTTGGGGGTTCACGATTGACAGTTTCACCTGGATTCAATTATATGTCTTAATTCTAAGTATCAGTATTCCACTTCTCCCTATTCAGTGCCACCTCCCATGAGAAACTTTGCAACACTGAATTTAACAGATCTCAGAATTAGCAACCTACACAAGTAAATTGAGATTTTGAGCAAAATCTCAGTAAAATGTCAGAGTCTTCTTGATCCCACAGTGAAAGAGGAATAAATAACAAGTTCTAAAGAAAAGAGGGGCTAGTCACTATTGTTAACATTTATTACTTACCATGTGTCATGGGCTTTGCTAAGTAATTTAAAGGCATCTTTTGGTGTCATGCACTCACTTAATTCCTTTCACTGCACTCAGAATAAACCCCAAATCTCTGTTATGGCCTTCTGGGTCCTAAATGGTCTGCACTCCTGCTGACCTCTCAGTTTGATGAGGAAGTTTCAGCCACACATATCTTCTTTCCACTCTTCTCAGCTTACATGTCACCTCCTCCAAACTGCTTTTCTAAAGTAGCTCACTCCCCACCTCATTACTTTCCACATCAAGACCGTGCTTCTTTATATTATCACCATATTATTTTACTTATTTTATGCTTTTTCATTGCATGTTTAGTATTTTTATTTATGTTTATTTACTGCGTGCTTATTATTTTTACTCCATGAGACTGTAATCTCAACTCAGGCATAGACCATCTATGGTTTGTTCACATTGCACTGCACCAGAAAGGATCTTAAGAAGCATGTGTAGAATTCTCACACCTCTAGAAGTTGGACTACATTATTTCCTACTGCTTTTTAAATAGGCAAACGAAAGCTTGGAGAGCCACGTTAACGTATCCTAGGTCTGTCACAACCAACTGGTGGCCAGGGTCTGTGGATCTTCAAGCTGGAGTTGGTCACCTCCTAGCACAACTCCATAGGAGGAAGTGAAGCTCAATACAATTCCCTCCTGTCCTCCAACGATAGGGGCAGCAGGGTCTGTACCCAGAGGAAACAAAGAGCATCATCATTATCATCACAAACTGGTGTGTGCTTACCGTATTGATGATGTGCCCAGTCCCCACCTTGCCTGAGACCAGAACTCCCAGCCAGCACCGGCCACGCACCCGCGGAGCTGCCAGGTAGCACCCGCCCCCTCTCTCTGCGCAGGCGCGCGCCTCCTGCTTCCGCTCGGGGCGGGGCTGGGCTCCCGGGGTAGGTCCGCGGCTGCTGCTGCGTCCGACCCCCGGCCGGCGCGGGTATGGAGCTTGGGGGTCACTGGGACATGAACTCGGCCCCGAGGCTGGTCTCGGAGACCGCAGAGCGGAAACAGGAGCAGAAGACAGGAACCGAGGCGGAGGCTGCCGACTCCGGTGCCGTCGGAGCCCGCCGCTTCCTGCTCTGTCTCTACTTGGTGGGCTTCTTGGTGAGTGCGAGCGTGGGGGCTGGGAGCAAGTGCTGACTGTGTTCGGGCCTGGGGACCCAGGCGGTTCTTGGAGCTTCCGGGGAGCTCCCAGGGAGTGGGAACCCGCAGTCCGCCTGGTGAGTGCCTCACTACCTATCAAGCTCTCCTCTTGCCCTATCACCCACTTCAGTCTGCATCTGGCCACACTGCTTTATTGCCCCTCGCGCTTTCTCTTGCACCCCGTTCGCGGAACGTCTTCCCTTCCCTGCCTTTTGAGAAGCCCTGGTACCAACCTCAGGTGTGACCAGGTGTTAAATGCTGTGGCAGGTGCAGCTTTTGCAGGGCGGAGAACAGGGGTGTGGGCAAGCTTGGAAAAGCCCAGCTGCTGTGCGGCTGCTGGTGAGGTAGGGACACGCAAGCCTTTTTACCAGAACAGGCAGGGGAGGCCGCTCTTGACCCCGCTTGGACAGATTTAGGCACATTTTCACTAGGATTCTTGGTTGACTTAAATATTAAAAAATGCAGATCAGAGTGAATTTTACCCATCTGCCTTTCGACAAACTGCGCATTGCACAGCGTAGGTTTGGTTTCATCATGATGTGTGTGCCTGTGGTTTGCTTTTTTACCAGACCAGGCTGGAGAAGCCGCTGTTGATGACCCCACTTGTACAGAATTGGGTGCATTTTCACTAGAGCTCTCGGTTGACTTGAATGTTTAAAAATGCAGATCAGAGTGAATTGTACCCATCTACCTTTGGACAAAGGGTGTGCATTGCACAATGGCGGTTTGGTTTCATCGTGTGTGTGTGTGTGTGTGTGTGCGCGCGCGCGTGTCCTGGTTTGCTCCCTGAGTGCTAATTTCCCACGTAGAATGGAAAGTTTAGTAAGCTGATTCATGGCATTTCTGAACACCTGCCATGTGGCAGGTGCTGCGGAGCTTCACTATTGTAATCCACAGTTCTGCCACAGAAGAATTCAGTCTTACAAGTAAGCTGATGTTGGTAGTTTCTGGGCCATTATCTGCAAGAACCCTAGATCCACCTCTGCACTCCTCCCTTTCCAAGGCTAGGCCTGATTCAGCCCTGAGTGTGAGCTAATCCAGTATCTTGAGGGTAAGGAAGCTGCGATAAGTGTCAATGGGAGAAGGCTGCCTTTGAGGCCTTGAAGATAGTATCTGATGGCACTGGGCCCTGGCAGGGAGTCATCGTTTTCTGCCCAGATGCAGATCAAGACCACCACTTCTCCCAGTTTCATGCACTCTCCATGCCACCACCTCCATGCAAGGCGTTCAGTTGGTAGCAACTCTATGTTGAGTTAATAGTTAAGATCACCATGAAAGCATGTTCATCAAATTGCTGCAAGCCCAGAAACACAAGGTCTTCAGGGAGGGCGGCTTTTTAGAGAGGATTTCTCTGCCTCTAGGCCATTGCAGGATCCACCCTCCAGCTCCATGCCTTTAACTTCAGAGACTGGCACTCCTTCTGACCACTATTCCTTTAATCTAGTAGTTCATTCTCAGCATGGGGATGCTTCTTCTACTTTTCAGTCTAGGCACCTAGAATTCACAACCAGTGAGTATGGGTGGTTCTTGGAGAGGAGTTGGCTGACATCCAGCCTTTTTAGTTATGGGTCCCAAGCTACTGCTGTCCTGTCTCAGAAGGGACTTGGGCTGGTTCAGCCAGATGAAAACATTTGAGCCCTTACCTGGAAAGTCCAGACTAGGGTTCAGAGAATTTGACTTAGAATTCAAAGTAGTTTTAGTATTAGAATAAAACAAAGCAATTCGCAGATCATTTGTTAAGGTCAGCCTTCCAATACAGATTTGAATATTCACAATTTATCATATGTTTTCTTTATGCTGTGTATTTGGCAAGTCTAATCTAGCAAGCCTGATACAGAATTTTAATAACTTTAATAATGTATTCAAGAGAACCATTAGGTGTCTCATATCTTAAGGGAAAAGTTTATGGTTTCCCAAAAGTTGAAAGAGTAGGGATTTTTTTAATGGAAAATATTGTAAACAATTAAATATATGAAGCTTTACATGAAAGTCACATAAAGCTACCTAACAGATGATTGTTAGGTAACATCTAAGGAACATTATACATAATTTAGTTTTTTTTTGACATATTTAGGGATGTAGAGACCTCTAAGATTCTTGGACAAATGGTTTCTGAATGGGAGAGGAAGGGAACAAGCTTAGAGAAGTCATTTGCCAAATTGTTCTGTTTTAGCAGTTATCCGTACTTCCAAGTTTTAATTTGTTTAGGAGGGAAGACCAAGATGACCCTTGAGGCCCGTTTTGTTTAGGATGCTTAGATGGTGATGAGATCTATTATTTCAACCACTTTTTTCCTCCAGATACTTGGTGAGATTTGTTTTCCATCCCATCAGCTTTATTCAGGTGATAATTCATTTTCATTGAGATAGTCCAGTAATCAATAATTACTGGGGTTCCTACCCTGAAAAGAGTCTTGAAACTTTTGAGTGTACATATTCATCAATTTTTATTGAAAAATGTTGATATTCAGTGAAAGTTTAAGTGGCCCCTTCTGACATGATCTTTTTACAAGTGGTTACATGCACATGACCAGATGCCAAATGCAGCGATTTTGAAGAAGCTATGGATTGAGAAGCAGAAAGGAGTTGCCTTTTATAGTAAAGGAGAAGGCAATTTTAGAACAGAACTTCCTGAGAGGAAAGATTCAGTGGCCAGTCTCCTTGGAAGAATATAGTACTTTTCAGACTCACCAAGTGCTAAAGTAATACCAATCATCAGTTATTGCCTTTGAGTCTGTATTTTCATACTTACCTTCCATAGAGCTCAGTCTCTTGACCTAAATATTTCTCTCCATCTCTTATTTAGGATACCCATTTTATTAAATGATATGTTGTACTGGGACTTTTTTTTTTTGGAAAAAAATGGTTATTGGACAATTGAGTTTCCTTTTCTGAAAGATCCAGAAGATTCAATAGGTGGCTGGTACATTTTGAGTCTTTTAAATGTGTAAACATCAGTGGGCTGATGAGATGCAACTGACAGCAAAGCCCAAAAGAAATGGACTCAGACCCAAAGGAAATTTTAAGTAATGGCAATATTGAAATAATAAACCATCACTCTGGTAATGTAATTTTAAGAGCTAATTATAGTCACTTGATATTAGATAACAGGGTCATCTAAAGATGTAACCATGGAAAAGGCCCACTGAAAAGAGTATGTGGAAATTTATGTATCTATAGTTATATGAATGTACAGCTACCAGGACAGGGAAGGGGGAACAAAAGATTAACTCTGAGCTCAAGGAAAATACATATTTCATGCGAGTTCTTTCTTTCCAACTAACCAGCTGTATGAAAGAAGGAATTCAGGTCGAATATAATGAAAACTGTGTGTGTGCAATGTTTTTTCTCCCACTAAACCAACTGTAGCAGGTAACCTAGTGAGAATAAGAACAAAATTAAAAGAAAAGTTAACAGTCTGTCTATTAACTCAGAATACCTAGCAAAAAGGACCTGTCCTTATCCCCAGAACTGAAGAAGGGAGAAGACATGTTTGAGCTTACATTGTTTTATTAGGCCTTTCTCAAGCATTATGCCACTTAATGCTCATCATATTTCTACCAGGCAGGTATTACTGTTCTACCCTTTGCAGATGACAGCACGGAAGCTTGGTAACTTTAAGTAGCTTTCCAAAGACACATGTTTAGTAAGTGATGGAGGTGGAATTGAGAACTGTCTGCCTGACCCCAAAGCCCATTCACTTTCTATGACTTAGCTGCAAAACACTGGCCTTTCCCTAGTGCACCAGCTTCTTCCTTCTTGCTTTACTGAGCCTTTCTTCTCAGGTATTATTTTATAAGCTTATAAACTACAGGTCCTAGGACATTAGCCACTTTCGCCAACTCCAGAAGGAAACATATTTTTAAGCAAGTGCTGGTTCACCAATAAATACAAATTATGACTGCATTTTTTCTTATGACTTATCCACAGAAAATATGGGGTTTTTTGTCTGTTTTGTTTGAGGAACTTCTGTAGCATATCCTCCTTGAGTGTAAAGTTAAAACGGATCCCAGGTCAGACTAATCCAGGCATTTGCAAGTGGCAGCGGATTTGTATGGCATGCTATGGAATCCAATTATGATTTCTTACGTGTTTAAAATTTTAGATATTGGTTTTATTTTTTAAATTAGTTTAAATTTTTAGGTTTACTAGTTTGAAAAATACTAATTTGAGTCCATCAGCATTTATTTTGTTTTAGGATTTGTTTGGTGTCAGCATGGTTGTGCCTTTATTGAGCCTTCATGTCAAGTCCCTTGGAGCAAGTCCAACAGTTGCTGGAATAGTAGGTGAGTGGTCGATATTGCTCATTTTTAGAGCACTGAATTTTAAATCCTCTGAACCAAGTACCTGAAAACAATTCAATTTTGTATCCAAATATTATCCAAAGGTAAGTGGGAAATGAGATAAAACAAATTTCCAGAATATTTTAAAATATTACCCTATAGCAAATGCAATTCCTTTTTTTCTAGACGACGTATGTTCAAAGAGATTTTGAGATTTGAGCACTATAACCAAGTCCCATGCCACTAGTGGCAACAGGTACTTATGGAGCCTCTGCAAGGAGCTGGCTGTGTGTATAAAAGGGTAGGTACATGTGGACTCCTGCCTACAGGAACCCTTAACCTAATGTGAGAGACCAGGGAAACATAATCTACAGAAATCACATCTCGTGGGAAAGGGTTTCGGTGAACATTAGCCAATTAGTTGCAAGCTTCTCACACCGTCACCAACACATCATAGATATTGTAGAGTTTCTCTGCCTGTGCAGCTTAAAAATTCCATCCAGAAGTCATTGATTTACCAAAAAGGCAAGAGACAGCAGGGCTTAGGACTATGCTAACTAATGGGAAATTGTTGAGACTAACAGCTCTTGATCATTCACAAGCCAAACAAGCAAGTGTTTGTGGACAGTCTTGTACATAATATTTGTTAAATCATGGTCCATGCCGTGATTTGTATTTCCCTCGACAAATGTACTTGGAATTACACTGGACCACCCAGCAGTGTGAAGGTTTTTGGGAAAATCAGATAGGGCACATTGCATGATAATGGAGGTAAAAGAGCTCTGTAAAAAAAATATAAATTCTTTATAAAATAAATCATTTTATAAAACCAGTACACATTAGAAATATAAGAGACAATGTTAAGATTTTAAGGCTTAGTAGGGTTTTTCCAGAATTTAAATTTCTATTCCCCTGAGTACTCTCTATGCTGTTTCATAAGTTGAAGCTACACAATCTCATATGATGGAAGGACAATCATACAGCGTCCATAACGTCACCTTTTGCCTTTTTTCTCTCTTCTGTTTACCCTCAATTTTTTGAAAACCTTTTGTTAGAAATTGTATTACTTCCATTTTGTTAGAAATTGTATTACTTCCATTTTTCCAAGTAGAAAAAAAAAAGATGTGAGATAATTTAAAACAAAAAGGTATCTTACCCTAATGTTTTTCTGTTGGTTTCTGTGTAATTGTTATCACATTAATCCATTTTTGTGATAGCTCTAGCTGATTTTATTGTTATTGATTTGTTTTTTACAGGCTCCTCCTATGGCATTTTGCAACTCTTTTCTAGCACATTGGTGGTAAGTTATGATCACATGTCTCATCCATCACAGATGTAGTAAAATTGGGGACTTGAAGTTTATCAAAAAGTGATAGATTTGGGATGAGAACACCTTTAAATTGTAATATGTTCTTCCTACAATTCCCTGCTTTTTACAGACAAAAAGAATGTAAACAAAAGTTATTATCAATTTTAGGCTGGGCGCGGTGGCTCACGCCTGTAATCCCAACACTTTGGGAGGCTGAGGCGGGTGGATCACGAGGTCAGGAGATCGAGACCATCCTGGCTAATACGGTGAAACCCCGTCTCTACTAAAAAAAAAGATACAAAAAAATTAGCCAGGCATGGTGGCAGGCACCTGTAGTCCCAGCTACTCGGGAGGCTGAGGCAGGAGAATGGTGTGAAGCCGGGAGGCGGAGTTTGCAGTGAGCCGAGATCGCACCACTGCACTCCAGCCTGGACGACAGAGCGAGACTCTGTCTCAAAAAAAAAAAAAAATGTTATTACCAATTTTATTATTTATTACACTTCATTGACAGTAATCAAATCCATTTATATTTCTGCTATTCTATTTAAAGTTGTGTATTTTGAACTAAATAAAAGCTTTTTTATAAGACTTAAGTGTATAGACAGAAGGGGACATTTGGATTGGCTGATTGTATATGTGCAGCATGGAGTAGAAAGATCCAGAGGTGGCCAGGCATGGTGGCTGGCATCTGCAGTCCCAGCTACTCAGGAGGCTAAGGTTGGAGGATCGCTTGAGCCCAGGAATTCAAGTCTAGCCTGGGCAACATAGGAAGGAAGACCCTGTTTCTAAGAAATCAAAAAAAAGAAACACAGATTCAGTGGCGACCTTGTCAGTGCCCTACTTCTGACCACTCAGTTGTTTGAATTTCAGAGACCTTACCTGATGTCCCCTTCTCTCTCCCTGTAATGTCTACTGTGATCACTCTGGTCTGGAGACCTCAGCGTCCAGTGGTTCAGGCGGTTCAGTAGAATAGTCTATTTAGTCTCACAATTGATCAGTAGTGACTTTGGTCTCAATAGCTGGCCTGGGGGTCTCATATTTAATGAACACAAAGTGTACTTATGTTTCCCAAGAGTTGCTTCCTTGTAAAATATATTTTTAAAAGAAATTCAGTCAGATTCCATAATAAATTCTTAAATAAGTAAACAGCTACTTCCTGATTTATTGAAGTATTTCATATATTAGATTTCCATTACAATAATAGTTTTAGCCTCATTTAAACTTTATAGTAACCCAGCAAAGTAGTTTGGTATCTTTCTTTTATATAGGAGGAAATTAAGACCAATTAAGACCCACATAGGTTAATTTGACTAAGCTACCTAATTTCAGTATTTAGACTCTAAGCCCATATTATTTTTTTTCTAAGAGTCATCTGTCATTGCCTTAATGATATAAAATGGTAAATAGGTAACTAGAGTTATCAGATTGTACAGGAGAGCAGTGCACTTGCTTGTCAAGCAGAATGTCGTATTTCATGTTCTTTCTTGTGAGAGAAAAGTTTGAGTTACATCTTAGTAAACACCTTTTCTCTTTATTTGTAAACTCACTCCCAAAATATCTGATGTGTGTATCTGTTAGAGCTATTAGGTCACAGTGTATGTTAATTCTTTTAATGTTTTCTCTTCCTGGACTCTGGTCTTCCTGAGATACAGACCAGGCTTACTTGCTTAATTTTTTTATACTCTTACTTATCAGAGTACCTGGCAATAGTTAGCACTTTATAAATGTAAATTTTTATTGCTAACTATGACTCTACCCTTTTTTTCAGATTTTCCTTTGTTGTTTTATGTTTGTACTTACACAGAACATTTCATATGTCTTTTAGCTGAAATTTAATGAAAACCTTTCTTAGAAAGCCTTAAGATACAGAAATTCCTAGTTAAAATTTCCTTTTTAACCCATACTTCTGTAAGCACATATTTTAATTATAAATTTTACCAAAAAACTTTTAATTTTGAGAACAAATCTTTATACAGAAAAAGTATATTCTGTCAGATTTGGCTAATGTTTTTAAATAAATGTATTTTAATAAAAAATGATCCACTTATTAAGTACCTATGTGTCAGCCCCTGTTTTGAGAACTTTATTTCCTCTAATCCTTATAATAACCAGCCTCAAAGGGTGGTTATGGGTCTTTAATGACTCATTTTATATTAAGCACACAGAAAGTGTTGAGTGGGGAAAATAATCTCTGAGGCAGATATTATTCTTGTTTTACAGGTAGAGAGACTGAGGCATAGAGAGGTTAGCTCATATGTCCGAGGTCATGGTGGAAGGAATGATGAGTTCAGCGTTGAGCCCAAACAGCCAGGCTTAGGGCCAGGGTGTAAATCCCAGATTATACCACTGCCCTGTGAGTACAAGGAGGCCAGTAACCCTTTCCCCAGATCAAAAGAGTATGGGGAATTTCTAAAATTCATTGAAATGAAAATTGGGGAGTAGGATTGAAGACACCTATAGAAGGATGACAGTATTTTGGAAGGTTTACCTTAAAAATATTTTATAGAGGAAGTTTACATCATTATGTAAAGGGATCTTTCGGCCCCTTAAGAAAAAGATAAACATATCAATAAAAATGGGGAGAGGGCATGAACAGCTACACTTGGCAATTGGCATGCAGTAGTGGCCTGTGAGATTCCTTCCATGGTTAGTGGAGAGGGTGAGGAATGGTTGTGGAACATCACTGAGGAAGGAGGGACGCAGGAACCAGCCTCAGTCACCTCCTAGCCGGGACTAATGGAGACCAGCCCATTGTACTGGAACTGGGGGTCATCCAGGGTTTCACACAGCATGGGGGACCCTGTTTCTTAACCCTTTTACACAGTGCTCCATTGATAGTATAGTGTTTAGTAATTGTTCTTTTAAGGCAGTGACTTTTTTTTTTCAAACATTGCTTCACCCAGAACATCAGTGTGTGAAATGGCAGGCTTCCTCCTAGGCCACCTCTGTGGTCTTGCTCAACATCCTTACTTGCATAGAGTGTTCAGAAGGGAGCTACGCCGGGCAGGTTTCTGAGGCTTCCCAAATGTGGGAATTCTAAGGGGACAGAAATGCTGCCTTACCTGCCTCTCTCAAGAGAAAATGCAAATAGTACACAAATTTTAAAAAAATTATCAGGAAAAAAGGCAAACATAATTTTAAAAGATGCTGCTTAACAAATCTGTAGATTTTAAACATTGACAGTAGCAGTGCTGGTTGAAATACAGGGAAATGGAGACTGTTACTGTTCTAATTACAGTATATATGGGATTACAAATCTTTCCAGAGAGTAATTGGTCAGTATATGGCAAATGCCTAAAAAAAATGCCTGCATAGAATTGGAACAACTCCAGTTCTAGGGGTTTGTTCTAAGGGAATTTTTAAGGGTATCTGTGGAGAATTTGCTATGAAGATGCCTATTGTAGCGTTATTTATATTTTTGACAAATTTTTAAAGAGCAAAAATCTAACAAAACTATTTGTTAAATAAATATTGGTATGTAGTGGAATAAGGAATGTGATTAAAATGGTAACAAAGGCAAAGTTTTAATAACATGGAATGATGCTTAAGTCATATTAAGTAAAAAAGCAAGTTACAAAATAGAGCATATTGTATGACCACTTTGTTAAAATATAGGTACATTTAGGATTATGAGGTATTTTTGTATTGGTCATTTTGTTTTTCAGTATTTTCTAAATTTTTTAAAAATGTACATGGTATCTGAAGAGTGTAGTTTTATAAAGTAATGAGAATGGAGACAATAATGAGGCTTTATAAATTATACTTTATCATCTCTCCTGCCTTTCTTAGCTACCAGATCATCAGACTTTTTTGTTTGTTTGTTTTTGGACAAAAAAAAAAATACATTGTGTTTTTCCATTCACTGTGTGTGAAGATCAGAGAAAATAACTTACTCTGACAAATGGCATCATGGAACTGAGCATCTGAGGATCTGACACTGAATCTTCCATTGTTTTCCCCTGGTCACTTTGTTTTGGTCATTTGCATGGTGGTAGTCGTTACTGTGAATGGGGTCCAAGGGCTTTTTCTTACTTTCCTCAGGGCTGCTGGAGCGATGTAGTGGGAAGACGGTCTTCCTTGCTGGCATGCATTCTACTCAGTGCTCTGGGCTATCTCCTTCTCGGAGCAGCCACCAATGTGTTTCTGTTTGTCCTGGCTAGAGTCCCGGCAGGTGAGTGACTTTTTTTTTTTTTTTTTTTCAAACGTAGCTTCCCCCAGAACCTCAATATGTGAAACTGCACGCTTCCTCCTGGGCCACCTCTGTGGTCTTGCTCAACATCCTTACTTGCTTAAAGAGTGTTCAGAAGGGAGCCGTGCCTGGCAAGTCTCTGAGGCTTCCCAAATGTGGGAATTCTAACAGGCAGAAATGCTGGCCTGTGTGTGTGTGTGTGCGTGCGCGAGCATGTGTGTGTGTCTATGTCTATATCTAAAGCCTGTTCCTGCTGGACATTGCCTCTTTGATTAGCACTTACCTAAAGTGCTAATTACAATGGCAGTTGTGACTATAACTGACACCAGCAGCTGCTGGCCATTGAACATTTAGCATGGGCCAGGCACTCTGCTATCTTGACCAAACCTGGAGTCGTACTTGACAGAGCCCCTTGCCCCTCAGAGCCTGTCAGCGTGAATGATCACACTACTGTATTGGGACTTGTCTCCTTCCTGTTTATCTTACTCTACATCATTCAGTAAGAATTTGTTAAGTGTCTTTGGCCAGCACTGAGGTTCCTGTTCTGTCCCTTGGTGAGCCTGTAGTTTTGTAACTGGGCTTCCTCACATCAAATTGGGATTCACTTCTTTAGCTTTCCTGTGGCCTCCTTTTGTCTGACTGTCAGTTAGCGGGGACACTGGGATTATGATACAGCAGCTTGTGGGCGAGTTTGCTGTTTCCAGGCTCGTCTGGACTGTTTTTAACATTTTGAACTAGCTTTTATTTTGTCCATTTTTTTGAAACACCTCCTGTGAATGCGGCGTAGCGCTTGGTGGGTATATTATTCCTGTAGAAGCTCTTTGTTCTCTCTTTGCCGTTCTTAGGAATTAGAGGAGTTTCAGTGTCTCTCTTACTGTACCTGTCAGAGCACTGGCAGGCTTTGCTACCCTGCTTGACAAGTCAGGGGCATTGGGCACCATCTCGAGTTTTGTTAAACTGCTTGCTTTTAACTGACTCCCCAAATAAATAGAGCATCAGATAACTCATTTTAACATAGACGTGATGATCAGCTGACTCACCTGGGATTTCCACACCATTTCTGTGGAATATATACTTTTTTCATTTACTCTGAAAGTCTGTAGAGTTCAGCCCCCCCAACATTCTTAACCATGCCTTTTTGTTGACTAGATAAATGCTTTGTGAAGGTCTTTGCTTAAATGTGGTCAGTTGTCTTTACAAACCCCAGTACCACACAAAATCCAAGTGATAGCCATTGTATATGCATCTGGTGTTGAGTTTATTGTCTTTGGTGGGCAGCATGTCTTTCTATAGTATAACACACTCCACCATTATGTGGTGTGTACTGTTCATAATTCTAAAGAAGCAGATGGGGAAGATGAATAAGAACGTAGAGTTGTTACAAAATGCATTGAGATTTGTGGGGAGGATTAAAATGTTTTATTTAATAGGAAGTGAGCCTGAGCTTAAGTAGTGAGAGTTCTCTTATATGAACCGTCACTATGATCTTCACAAATGAGAGCTATATATAAAAACTCCTCCTTGCCCATGTAACCTCCACAGTGTTGAGTGGTCTGTGAACAGGAGCAAGCCACGGGGGGCTTCACAGGGTTCTGCTTCACAAAGTCAGTTGTGGATTCAGATCCTTGTGTCCTAAAAAGGAACCACTGACTTCAAGTCAGTGCCTGAGGTTTAAGTGCCTGAGTTGGACGCCTCATTTTCCATTCCACTCTGTCCACCACCCCAACCTCTGAAAGAGAAGAGAAGCTTAGGCTGGGTTGTTCACGGGATACTCTTACCACAGTCTTCGTCCCTCATGTATGTAAAGTGAACCTGACATCAATACAATTTCAAAAAGAATCATAGAATTCCTGCGAGACCTACGGAAATCATGTTCTGGCCCAGTCCTCTCTGACATTTAAGGAAACAGGTCTAGGGAGAGTCCATCTACCTAATTCCAAAAGAGATTTATACATTTGCTTTCCAAAAAGGCTGGCCGTCAGGCACACAACCACACTACTTTTGAGGCAGAGCTGGGAATAGATTAGTAGGACGAGTGTGTTGAAGCACTCGGCGGCAGCACAGTGATGTGCAGAGTGAGACTGCCCACGGGAGATCACAGAGAAACGCTGTGTCACATCACACTTGAGTGATTCATGCAGATCCGCCAGCCGCATTTATTCAGTTTCTACTATGTGTTGATCAAAATAGTGGGCCGCTGGTTACCAGAATCTGTCAGCATGTTTGCAAGTGTGGTTGTTCTGCACGTGGGGGGTCTAGGGACATAGGAGTCAAATCCATCTGCAGAGATATGAGGAGTATAGTTGTCAGTTACTTTAATTTCTTATTAAAAGTTATATCACAGCATTCAATTTGTTCAACAAATTCACAGGCCTCTTACTGGTAGGAAATCCATTGGTATTGGTTCAGTGATGGTGCTATCAAATTTCTACTCACTCCTTGTCCTCTCCCCAGCTCCGTTTCTCTGTTCTTTGGTTTATCCTCAGGGTCAACCTTAGGGCTGGCCATAGAGTAGGCATGCAGTAAATATTGGCTCAATGAGTTAATGTGTAAAGAGTGAAAACTCGCTTTATGGAAGCCACCGTGAAATGCAAGCGTAACTGGGAGGCACTTGGGAGGTCATGACAGGAGGTAGGCAAGCTGAGGGTTAAGGGACTTGATTGCCAGAGATAAGGTGACTGACTAGGATCAGAGTGCTAGGCCAGGAGTCTAATTACGGTGGGATGGAACCGGCAGACCTCAGAAGTTCAAAGAAAAAGAAGATCAGATGCCGTGGTGGTATAGTGGTGAGCATAGCTGCCTTCCAAAGAAACCAGAGATCAGAACTCCATCAGGGATAGAGGTTAAGCACAGGATCATAAGTAAGATACTTATGGTCTGGAAAAAGTTACAGAGCATGTTTCTCATCCCCTTGCAGGTATTTTTAAACACACTCTCTCCATCTCAAGGGCTCTACTTTCTGATGTGGTTCCAGAGAAGGAACGGCCGCTTGTAATCGGACACTTCAACACAGCCTCCGGTGTGGGCTTCATCTTGGGCCCCGTGGTCGGTGGCTATCTCACTGAATTAGAGGATGGGTTTTATCTCACAGCCTTCATCTGCTTTTTGGTCTTCATTCTCAATGCTGGTAAGTTGACAATCATGAGAAGATTGTTTTGTGTATTCATACTGACCAATTTACCTACTTTTCTCTTATTTCTTTGCAATTCGTTTTTATCAGAATAGACAGACTCATCGTCCAAAAACAAAAGTCATTTTGAGGAACCCCCCCTAGTGTTTTCCATAGTGGCCGGTGCCAGTTTACATTCCCACCCACAGTGTGCCAGAGTTCTCTTTTCTATTTTTTTTTTCTTTTTTGAGACCAAGTTTTGCTCTTGTTGGCCAGGCTGGAGTGCAGTGATGTGATATCAGCTCACCGCAACCTCCCCGTCCCAGATTCAAGCGATTCTCCTGCCTCAGCCTCCTGAGTAGCTGGGATTACAGGCATATGCCACCATACCCGGTTAATTTTGTATTTTTAGTAGAGACGGGGTTTCTTCATGTTGGTCAGGTTGGTCTCGAACTCCTGACCTCATGCGATCCGCCGCCTCTGCCTCCCAAAGTGCTGGGATTACAGGCGCGAGCCACTGCGCCCAGCCCAAGAGTTCTCTTTTCTCCACATCCTCATTAACACTTATCTTTTAAAAATATGTCTGTATTAGCCCTCCTAACATGTGCGAGGTGATTTTTCGTTGTGGTTTTGATTTGAATTTCCCTGATGATTAGTGACATTGAACACCTTTTGTTTTTCCATCAGCCACTCCTTGGAGAAATGTCTATTCAGATTTTTTGCCCATTTTTAAACTTGGTGTTTTTTTGTTTTTGTTTTTGTTTTTTTTGCTGTTGAGTTGAAGGAGTACCTTGTATAGTTTGGATATTAACTCTTTATCAGATGTATGATTTGCAAATCGTATCCACTGTGCAGGTTACTTTTTGCTTTGCAGATTGTTTCCAGGTTGCTTTTTCACTTTGCTGATTTGTTTCCATTGCTGTGCAGAAGCTTTTTCGTTTCAGGTAGTTCCACTTGTCTATTTTTGGATTGGTTTTGTTGTTATACCTAAGAAATTATTGCCAAGGTCAATTTCAAGAAGCTTCTACCTTCTTTTACAGTTTCAGGTCTTATGTTTGTCTTTAATCCATTTTGAGTTGATTTTTATCTTTAATCTATTTAAGTTGATTTTTGTAATGTGATGTGAGGAAGGGATTAATTTTATTCTTCTGCATGATACATATTTTAGTTGCAATTTAAAAGGGAAATATTTTATTTTTAATGTATTTAATATAAATTTAAATACAATTATGGAAGTAAGAAAGAAGACTATGCAATCTCCTGCTACAGACCCCCAGTTGTTTCTATCATGGTAATGCACATGCCTCACAGCTGGCACAGTGGTAGGTGATGGGCAGACCCTGCCCCTCTCTCTGCCTTCCTCCATACATTCTGGCCATGCTGGCTTTCTGGTCTACCATATGTATGCCAGGCTCATTCCCATAGGAGGGCATTGTACCAGGCCTGTCTTCTACCTGCCACATTCATCCCACATCTGTTATTGGCTCTCTCTTTTCAGCATTCAAGACTGAAATATCTGCTTCCTTAGGCCTTCTCTGACCATTCTGCCTAAAAGAGCTTAATTTTCTTCATAGCATTCTTGAAATTATGTTATTAGTTTGTTTTACTGCTTACGTTCTCTTTGTTCCCCCAAATCAGTAGGCAGACTCCATGAGGGAAGAGATTTTGTCAGATTTACTCACTGCTATCACCCCTGTGCAGAATACACATTGGGCCGGGTGCAGTGGCTCATGCCTGCAATCCCAGCACTCTGGGAGGCTGAAGCGCGAGGATTGCTTGAGCCCAGGAGTTCAAGACCAGCCTGGGAAAGATAGTGAGACCCTGTCTACAAAAAATTTTTTTTTAATTATCCAGGCATGGTGACACATACCTGTAGTCCCAGATCCTCGAGAGGCTGAGGCAGGAGGATTGTTTGAGCCCAGGAGGTCAAAACTACAGTGAGCCGTGATCACACCACGGCATTCCAGCCTGGGTGACAGAGTGAGATCCTGTCTCAAATAAAGACATACATATATACATACAGACACACACACAGACACACACACACACACACACACACAGGACTATGAGCTCCTTGGATGCAGGGCTGGTTGCTTAAAATGTCTTTCTTCTTCTTCACTTAGAGAGTGGTGCATGGCTGGCCCTTGGATAAATGACTTCATAAACGAGAATTCATGCTAGGCAGTTTTCCTTACATTTAATGATATTGTACTTTACTGCAGCTTTTTGAATCTTCATATTCAAGGTTCTCTTTTGCATGATGATTTCCTTATTGGGTTAGGATGTCAGACCCAGGAAGCAAAGTTCATGAGCTTATTCTCAGTCCTCACAGAAATACATTATGATTTGTTGCCAGGAATTTACTTAGCCTGTAACTTGAATCAGGAGGGGTGCACATAAACCTAGATAAAAATCTCAAACACATGCCTCGTTGATGTGACCAGGTATCTTCACATATAAAGGAAGGTACATGAATGTGGTATCACTCAAAATTGAAAGTCAGCATATAACAAAGGAATTGGTTATGGAATTCTATTTTGGATCCTTCAACAATAGTGCCATTTAATATGTTGCCCTATCTTAAGCCTATAAATGGGTCTAAGCAGTTAGGAAAACATTCCGCTGCAAGTGTTCCCAACTACAATGGCTTCAAGGAAGAGGGACTTGTTTTTCCAACATAAGAAACTTGAGGATAGGCAGGCTGGGGCCAATAGAATAGCAGAGGAGGAGAGGGAGGATGACCTGGCTAGACAGCACATACTGTCCCACCCAGGGCTTTGGCCATTCAGTGCAGTGAACATATCATCATGCTGCTTTCTCATTCCAGTCTTGCCATCCTTTACCCCTGAATGACTATAGCTGTTTTCGTCAACGCTTTTACTCCGTTAGCTTCTTATATCCTCCTCTGATCCGCCACTTTGCCTGAGAAAGCCTTTTCATTGTGATTTCTGTTCATATGGTTAGGAACTCCAAACTCTGGAATCTGACAGACTCAGGTTCAAATCCCTGCTTTGCCAGTTTTTAGTGTGACCCTTGGGCAAATTGTCTTCCATTTTTTCATCTATAAAATGGGGTAACAAAACACATAGCCTTGTTATGAGAACTGTAAGAGGTTCTGCATACAAGCAGCTTACCCCAGAGCCTGAGGTAGGATTGCATAGACCTTGTCTTGTTTGTTAATATTTTCTTAGCGTTTCACACTTACGAACTCCATGAATATTGGAAGGTTGGACAGATGGATGGGTAGGTGGGTGGATTGCTTATAGTAAGCACTCAACAGAAGTTAGTTGCCATCATCATCATCATTTTTATTATTTTAATTCTACTTTTTTAGTTCATCAGCAATAATTCTTTCACATCTTTATCAATATTCTGTGTAATGTTCAAGGGCCCTTTTAAGATTGAATTATTAAAAGTCCACATCCTCCACATTCTCATGTGGTTGGTTTTCCGTTGTAAATTTGTCTATGGCTGAAGCACTTATACAATATTTGGAGAAATGACACACAAATGAAGTTGCTGAAAACAACATGAAGCAGCACTGAATAGCCACTGGTCTGAGTTGAACTTTTAAGTGCTCTTTAGCACTTAAAAAACAGTAGGATAGAGTTTGGAGGGATGTCCTAGAATGGCAAGTTTGAATTCAGTTTTAAGAACACTTTTGGGCATGGATTGGCAAGAGATCAACAGGCAAGAATGTGCTAGTCCTATGAGGACAGAGGTGGGATCATCTGAGTGGCGGTTAGAGCCACTGCGTAAGGTTGTATATGTTGTGGTCTATGAGAATGGTGCCCCCTGAGGTTTTGCAGGTGTGACCTGCACAAGCACTAGATGACCCTGACCTGGGGCAGATCCAAGCAGGTGCTTCCCAGGGAGAGTTGGCCAAGCTGTCCCTGCCCATCGGTCAAGCCAAGGCAGGCTGTCACATATGTGGCAGCCTGCACTTGCCCCAGCATGGCCCTTATATTGCAGTCTGGTTGCCTCTTTTCTTATCTGAACCTCTTTTTAGGTTTTAGCGTCTTGAGTACAGTGTTTTCAGAGGCCTTTTCTGTGTTAATATATTTCTATGTTTAGCACTTAAGAAGCACTCCATGAATATTGGATGTCTAGATGGTTGGATAGATGGATGGATGTTACGTGGACAGACAGATAATGAATAGGCAGAGAATTAGAAAGTTAATAAGGGAAGAATTTAAATTTATAACAATTCAGATATGAAATGATGAGATGTAGAACACTATCATAGGCTTTTGAGCTGGGAGGAAGCAGTGAGTATTTTGTAGGTATCGTGGTGTTCTTTTTTAAAGGCAAAGAGTCTTTTGCCAGAATCCTGATGTCAGAATAAAGCCATAGGAATGGTGAAAGACTAGATACAAAAATACAGACTAGTAAATTTAGTACCAAAATATAGATTAGTAATCTAACACAAATAATTGGCCCTTCCCCAAGGAGGTAGTGTATGGATTCAGTGCATTCAGATGCTTTAACCGGTCTCATGCCATTTTAACAGGTCTCGTTTGGTTCTTTCCATGGAGGGAAGCAAAACCGGGCAGTACAGAGAAGGGCCTGCCATTGCGAAAGACCCATGTGCTGTTGGGAAGGAGCCATGACACAGTGCAGGAGGCAGCCACCAGCCGCAGAGCCAGGGCCAGCAAGAAGACTGCCCAGCCCTGGGTCGAAGTAGTGTTGGCCTTGCGGAACATGAAGAACCTGCTGTTTTCCGAAATGTGGGACATATTTCTGGTGCGCTTGCTGATGGCCATGGCAGTCATGCTGTACTACAGTAACTTTGTCCTGGCCCTGGAGGAGCGCTTTGGGGTGCGGCCCAAGGTGACAGGCTACCTCATCAGTTACAGCAGCATGCTGGGGGCCGTGGCCGGCCTTGCCCTGGGGCCAATCCTACGGCTGTACAAGCACAACTCGCAGGCACTGCTGCTGCATTCCAGCATACTCACCTGCACACTGCTGCTGCTCTACTCCTTGGCCCCCACCATGGGTGCAGTTGTCCTCTCCTCCACTCTCCTGTCCTTCTCCACTGCCATTGGCAGGACGTGCATCACGGACCTCCAGCTGACTGTGGGCGGGGCCCAGGCCAGCGGCACCCTTATTGGCGTGGGGCAGTCTGTGACTGCAGTGGGCCGCATCATCGCCCCTCTCCTCTCGGGGGTTGCCCAGGAGGTCAGCCCTTGCGGCCCCCCCAGCCTGGGCGCTGTGTTAGCCTTAGTGGCCATTTTCATAATGTCTCTAAACAAGCGACACTCTAGTGGTGATGGGAATAGTAAATTAAAAAGTGAGTAGATGGATTTGGACAACATAAAGCAACAAAATTTGAGATGGTTGAATGAGGGCCGGAGGCCATGATGAAAAGGGCACTTTGGAAAGGGTTGGGGTGGAAGGGAAATATTTCCGGGTGGGTGTGAGCTGTTGGGCTTCCAGGTCAGCTCTTGGCCATGCAGCCATGCCTGCAGGATGATCAGAAGTCACGGCACCTCATGGGAAGGTTAAGACTGGAGCAAAGCTTTTCCAAGGTGAGCATATTCAGCGTTTACCTGGAAGTCTCTTCTTCCCACCTGGGCTAATCAGGTTACAATTTTCAAGGGTAAACAAACTACCAGCTACAGGATAGGGAAGTGGTGGTGGAATAAGAGAACATGATACCTGGAGGAAGGGAAGAAACCACAAGCATTTTCCTACTGAAAAATAGGGTGACATGTCAGTCAAATTCTGATCAACTGGAACTTGAGTTTCCAGTTAAATTCCATACACTAGGAGGGAGTTTTCTATCAAAATCCTGCAGATTGAAGAAGCTGGTTTATTAGAACCAGCCTGTCGCTTTTCAAAGCTGCTTAAAAATAAGATACTGACCTCACCCCTAGAGATGATTCAGTGGGCCTGGGTGGGGCCAAGAAATCCGTGGTGTTTTGTAAGCACTGCTGGCGATTTCTCATGGCAGTAAAGACCACACTGAGACTGCACTGATTTTGATTAAAGTACATAGGCTTGGCTGTTTTTACACAGCTAACTAAATTTGGACTCTTAAAATTGTGTTTGTAATCACAGTGTGTTACACCTTTCCCAGCTCTCAGCAGTTGTACTGCATGATGGAGCAGCGGGCCCCTGGGACCTGTTCCCTGTGCTCCCTGCCTCTGAGAGCCCAGCTTGCTCTGAAGTTGGACTAAACCACTTAGATGCTGGGGTTGCCACAGCCTGCTCCTGGAAGCCTGCATTCCAGTCAGGTTGCATCCTTCTGGTGCTGACAGAACCCAGTGGTGAAGCCAAAGCACAGGAATGCTTTAAAAATGAACAGTTTATGCAGAATAAGGGTCAGGAGTCATGCCAGACCAGAACTTGATGCTACTGTGTCTTGTGTTAAGAATCATTTCCTGGCCAGGCTCGGTGGCTCAGGCCTGTAATCCCAGCACTTTGGGAGGCTGAGGCAGGTGAATCACTTGGTCAGGAGATGGAGACCATTCTGGCTAACATGGTGAAACCCCGTCTCTACTAAAAATACAAAAAAAAAATTAGCCGGGCGTGATGGCGGGCGCCTGCAGTCCCAGCTATTCGGGAGGCTGAGGTAGAATGGCGTGAACCTGGGAGGCGGAGCTTGCGGTGAGCCAAGATTGTGCCACTGCTCTCCAGCCTGGGCGACAGAGTGAGACTCCGTCTCAAAAAAAAAAGAATCATTTCCTTTATTTTTAGTTTCACGCCTGCAAACACAAGCATTCTGTTGATCAACGGAAATATTTTGATGTGCCATTTCTTGTCTAAACAAGTTTCATATACAGCACCGAGGGGGCCACGAGAGGCAGAGGCCCAGACAGAAGGTGAACATAGCCTTGCAGGGAGACATATGCCAGGCAGGATGACCATTGGGATTGCATCAAGTATTAATCAGTTACTTAAGGGCTTCCTGTCAGACAGTTGAAGTTCACATTCCTTTTACTTTTCTTAATTAGTCCACTAGGATGGTATGCCTGTTTTCAACTTAACACATGCATACTTGTAAATATTTTAGTATGCTACAGTAATTTGTCATATCTTTAATATTTATTGTTTGTAAAGCAGTAAACATTTCTGTATTTTAGAAGTCATGGAGTAAAATCAAATATTTATGATAAATAATTGGAAGTATGTTTTAGTTTGAAGATTGTCCTTTTTCCTATCTTGCTGCAAGGAAAAATGGACTTCTGATTAGGTTTTACAATTGTGAACTTTTATGTAAATGTTAAGTGCTTTCGAGGAGACCAAACTATTATTAATATATAAAATGGCCTTGCCCTTAAGGAGCAAATTAAATCTCATGGAGATTAGACTCAAAAGGCAATAAATAATCGAGGGTTTATGCAATGAAATAGAATTTCAGAAGAGTTTGGATCTCAAAGATTGTCCTTCACTCTCAGAAACAGGCAAGTTTCTTAAAAGCCCTTATAGTCGTGTTTTTATTTTAAAAATCGTAGCACTTTATTTTTGAAGTTTAAAAAGCCCATAAACTTAATGAGTCTTTATAATCAGACACATGGAAATATAGAAAACCAAAGACTGATCTTAGAATATAGAGTAGAGAGACATGTTTGTTATTCTCCACTAGTGACTTTAGTATTTTGTTATGTGATGTTTTTTAGGTGCACCTTTTCTCATGACTCCTTTTACTTTATCTAATGTCTTCCTCTTTAAAGTGTGACCCAGAGACCAGTAGCATCAGCATCACCTGAGACCTGTGAACACTGAAGCTCCAGCTCAGACATGTTGGGGACCATTTTAATAAGATACCTAGCTGATTTTTTGCACAGCAAACTTTGAAAACCCCTGGTCTAAGGGGTAGTATTTGTATCACTTATGGAATATAATCTCAGGGAAATTAAATCTGCTCAATTGACATTTGTGGTGTTTCATTTTTTAAATTCTCTTGAGTAACTTCTGTAGCCCTTTCCAGTGTGTCAGGTTGAGCCACATGAAGTTGCTATTTTTGTAAGTCAAAAATATCTTCATAGGGTGCAACTCACTATTCTATGGAATCTTATTTTAGGAGTATTGAACCTTCCTGAAATGTCTTTGAAGGAAGTGTCACCCTTTCCAACACTCTGCCAGCCATAACTGCTTGGGAACAGGTCTCCAGGATTTGGGTTCCATAGAGCAGAAGGTAGGCCTCTGCCCTCATGTCTAGAGGGATGAATAACATTCTGAAAAGGTACAGGGTGTGTCTAGTCACAGGAGTCACCTGCAAGGCTCCAAACTCAGGCTGGATGGCCCCTTGGGGAGTGAATTCTGCAAGAGTTGCACCTGGGGCCAACAGAAGGAGCTGGAATCACTGATTCTGTATCCTGGCTACATGCCTTAGACCACAGGAACCAGACTCTGAAGCACCACAGATGTTTCTGTGAACATCTGGAGTTGGGAATCACTGAGTTAGATCAAGAATGGATTCGGCTGCCATGCTCGGGTTGAGATTGTATTGACGGATGAAGGGGAATGACGGAAGAATTCCTGCGGTAAAGTGCTGTGAAGACACTCCTGTTTTAGAAAGAGCTCTCTAGCCGCAGCAAGGAGGATTAACTGGAGGCCCAAGGAGTAGTCTGGACTTTGGGGCAGTAACTTTAGGGGGGCCCTGAGGGAGAGCTGGTCGCGAGGACAGGGACAGCAGGCAGAGGTTGTGGCCCACAGGGCAATCGCAGGAGAGGTTGTGAATAATTCCCAGGTGATGAGTGTGCAGCTTTGAGGAATTTCAAAGGGTTGCTTGGCGTCTTTTCCTGAAGACACTTCTATAAGGTATTTAGAAATCTATCAGGAGTGAGAATCAGTCCAGTCAGAAAATTTTAGGCATTTGGGCAACTGCATTCAGAAAACAGCTATTTATTTGGAATGCATAATAAAAGCCATGAGACTGAATCTCCATGCCTCTTTGCCCCCTAGTAGCCTTCAAGAAGTCTCTAAAACAGGGTTACCACAGATTTAGCCAGGATGATGTGTAGCAGCTTTTCTTGGAACAGGTTGATGGATTAAAATAACTTTTTTTCAGCTCTAATGTTTTTTTCTTGAATTTGCCAGTCACATGATAATTTTCTTCAAAAATAAAACTTTATAATTGTAATGAGGAACTGTCATTTATTCTTATAAGTTGTATTTTTAGAAGTCACTGATGTGTCTTGCTACATATTTCAATTCAGGATCCAGAAGTGCTTTGAAAAATGTCATCTCCAGTATGCTAGAACACATCTTAATATTAAAAACAAGGCTTTGGCTTTTAAAACCATTATGCAGATACCAAATATATATGTAATCTGACATTTATACTGAAGGCCAGTAAGTAGAGGACAGTTGATCCTTGAACAACACAGGGGTTAGGAGTGCCAAGCCCCCAAAACGGTAGAAAATTTGAGTGTAACTTTTGACTCTCTAAAAATTTACTACTAATAGCTTACTGTTGACATGAAGCCCTACCAACAATATTAATAGTCGACTGACATGTATTTTGTGTGTTACATATATACTGTATTTTTACAATGAAGTAAGCTAGAGAAAAAATGTTAAGAAAAAGAAAAATAATATTATTAAGTGGAAATGGAATCATAAGGGTCTTCATCCTTGCCACCTTCATTTTGAGTAGGCTGAGGGGGAGGAGGAGAAGAAGGGATTGATCTTGCTGTCTTAGGGGTGGCAGAGATGGAAGAAAATCCCCGTTTAAGTGGACCTGTATAGTTCAACTCTGTGTTGCTGAAGGGTCAACTGTACTTTTAAGGTAACATCTCACAGTAGGATTTATTTCTAGTTAAGCAGATGCACAAATACTTAGATCTCTCATTTTTCCCAAACAGGTATCTAAACACCATTTTATAGATAGCTGTCTACTAAAACAATAAAAGCAAAACTTCTGTTTTCCTGTTTCAGTATATTATAAGAAACGTTTATTTATGAGATGGAGTCTCACTCTGTTGCTCAGGCTGGAGTGCAATGGCACAATCTTGGCTCACTGCAACCTCTGCTTCCGGGTTCAAGCAATTCTCCTGCCTCAGCCTCCCGAGTTGCTGGGACTACAGGCACGCGCCACCACGCCCAGATAATTTTTGTATTTTTAGTAGAGACAGGGTTTCACTATGTTAGCCAGGCTGGTCTCAAACCCCTGACCTCAGGCGATCCGCCCACCTCTGCCTCCCAGAGTGCTAGGATTACAGGCGTGAGCAACGGTGCCTGGCCACTGATTCTTATTTTTAAAAGTGACTTAACACAGCTTGTATTGTTCCTTCCAGGGAGAAGATAATTATAAACATTAAGGAAGGAGTGTTAATTATTGCTGATAACTTACACAGCGTAAGAATGAACTGTAAGGATCTTGTTTGAACAAAGAATTGTATTTTGATCAGTCTTTATACTACATCTTGATACAGTTCTTTTTTCTAAGCATCCACTGTAGAGGAAGAAAGTGGTTAAAATACCTATTAATGATTGCAACTTATAACATGGATAGGAGACAGTCTTCCTTCAAGCTTACCAAAGAATCTCCATGCCATTTTGAGTAGTTGAGACACAGCCTCTTATCCAGACAGAACTAGTTTTTTGTGTGATAGCTTACCTACCTAAACCTGTCCCAAGTTTGCTTAATGAAATTGAAACCACATGAAATATCCAAAGCAAACCTAATAAAGGTGTTCTGCCGCTGACTCGGGCTGGACCCTTGTGGGGCTGTATGTATGCGACTTGGTAGGTGTTTGCCTTAAGTAGTCTGTTCTGTGGGGCTGAAGCATAGGCCTGGCCATCTCAAAGCCTAACATCTGTCAGGCCCAGTCTGTGACGTCACTGACAAGGGTGAGCATTTTCTTTGGGGCACCTTCAAAGTACCTTCACTGTGCATCTCTTTGGAGTGAATAGCACTGAAAGCATGATGAACTGTTACTGCCATTCAAAATAACTTTCTAGCTAAAGGTCAGGACTTAAACTAAAGGTTCAATAGTAAGACATAGTTATGGTAGCAAATCTATTATTTATTAATCAGATGCCAAACTATGTATTCATGGAAACCTAAAATTTGATGTGTTAATACACATCTTTGCATAATCTTTAAAAATTATTAAGGCAATAATTGGAATTAACTTCTTTTCTTTACGTTTGCATGGGAAGGCCGTATTTAATATTTAAAAGCATACACCATTTTTGAGCCCTTTTGCAGAGCCTTTTTAGATATAAAAATTAATGCACCAATTAAAATGTTTATTCCTCTAATCACGTTCTATTACACTGTAATAGAGTTAGCCTAGTCTGAGATATATGTATTTGGAATTAATAGAATTGAAATTTTCAATACTCTGAAGCTCTTACCTTTGAAGAATTCTAGCCATCACAATCCCATTCAACATAAATGAGAGTGGTTTCATACACAAATACAAAAACTGGGACTGTTCTGTTTTCATGTATGTACTATTTTCTCCATAAGTGATTAAAGGTTTACATGTGATTTAATATTTAAACTTTGGTAAGATTTTTCATAGAAACAAGGAAAAATTTCCTTTGTCCGTGTACATATACAAAATTTGTTTGGTAAGCAGGGTTATCCTAAGTGGATACAAAGAGCTTCATCTAAATTAGAAATTTAGTCTCCAGTCATACTTATGACTCAGCAGGAGCCAATAAAATAAAAAAGGATTAAAATGTCTGAATTTTTAATTCAAGATGTTTTGTTCCAGAAATCAGAAAAATCACAGCCTCTGTATCTGGTATTCTGTCTGCTGGGCATCTCATGGAGTGACATTTCCGTACCCTCCAGTAGGAGAACAACAGATTCCCATACAACCTCTGCACATACTGAAAGTTCTTGACGTATGTTCTGAGCCATCAAAATAATCTCTATGCTGTGTAGATTGAAAAGTTGATAATAATCCATTCACAGTAGACAGGTTAACTCTACACCTAGAAAAACTCATTTCCTGACCATGCGATTAAGAGAACAAAACTACGATTTATTAGCTATACATAGTAAAATATGATTTTATCTGAAAAGGTGCAGGAAGTTTAAAAAGGAAAAAGGATCAAAAATGATGTGCCAGCGTGACACTGAAGTGGTCTGCAAAGTCCCCATCTGCATATTTGACCTGCACGCCCCAGGGTGGCTGATCCCTGTCTGAGGGTGTCAGCTAGACGCAGAGTGGATGATGCTGGTGGATTCTAAAGGAAGGTGTCATCTGTCAGGGACAAGGAGCCATGGTTATGCCACACAGCTGGTACCCAAAGGGGACTTCTGCTTTCCTTAGAAGAGGGTTGAAGAAAGGGTTGGTTAAAAAGTGAGATAAAAAGTAGCAGTGCGCCACACACTTTAACCTTGTGTGTTCTGAGCCACGAGTGTTATTTTTCAGATTGATGAGAGAATCAGCACGTGGTGTTCAAGCCTCAGCGGATAATGCCAACAGCTGCTTCATCCGGACAAAGTGATCTCTTTAATCACGTTTTTAAGAAGAAAGTACAGTGTGCACTTTGACAAAAATATTGCAGATTATGAAACGTGACTTTTAACATAAAAACAATTTGGGCAGTACAATAAATGCAAAACGTGCTGAGACTCGTACTGTGTTTGTCTACAGTTTTTATGTAAATCAATACCCTCACCGCCCAGATAAAACAGTACACCCCACCATAAAGCTGAGCAAAAGCTGAAAGAAATCTCTTCACAGACATTTTGTGAGCATATACACAAAACACATGCTTTTAAAAGTATTAGACTTTGAAGCCAATTTCTAGTTTGCTCATTGACATAACTGTTCCCAACAGTCTCCTCTCAGCATTACATATAAAGTAATAAACCCCGACTTTTCATTTATAGGTAGTTCAAATCAAATTTTGTTACAACCAACACCAAAGACCTATCAAAGATCCACAGTCACATTGGAACTTTGGTTGGATCAAGTGTTGTTTGGACGAACGAAAGCCTTTACAAAGGGCTACGGCTCTCTCTACTACAGAAATTTAGATTGTGACAATATTTAGATTGTGAAAATATTTAGTCAATACTCTCATAATGACTAGTGACTAGAATTTAAGAATTACAAAAAGAGGAAAGTATAGAAAAAAAGCTAAAGTCAAATTTATTTTTATTGCCTTTGTCATTCAACAAACAAAAAAAATTTAAACTGATAATAATTAAGATTTAAGTTTTCCTTTATACATAGTCATCCAAATTCTGTATGGATGAATTACTGAAAGCGGAATTTGGTCTACCTGCTTAACAAGAAGCAATATAAACATTTTCATGTTTTCTCCTTCAGTTCCAGAAAGTTAAACTCTTTATAATAGTTATAAACATAGGAAACTGGGAAAAATTAGGAAATTTATTCTTTAAGGTCACTTTCAATTTCTGTTGCTTTTCAGATTTCATACTGTAGCTTTTCTGAAACCTGATTTTTGGCATTCTCAAAAATCTACATCACATTTCTTGAATCATGTTATTATCATAAAATTTTATGTCAGTTTTAATTTGTGTTAAGCAGAATAAATGTATTTTTATATAAATATTTTCATTTAAAATAGAGATTTTTGGCACAGAGTCCTAAGCCTGTAGTTTTCAAATTGCATTCTGTGCTACTTTCCCTGAATCAAGGAATTGTGCTCCTATGAACTTGTACCTTGTGTATCTAACCTTTGCTCTGTCTCATGCTCAACAATCCAGCAGTATTCTAAGACTTTAGAACATGAGAAAAAAGTGTAGATTGACTTCTCCTTGCTGGTGGAGGTGGAGAAGGGGTGGAGAACAACTGCTGAGGATTTTTGTCTTAATATTTTCATGTTCTCCTCCTGATAATACTGTAGGCACTTGCATCCTTTGGGGTATCTTCAGTGGGAAATCAAAGGACTGTGAGTGGCTTCATTTAATTTCTACACTCAGAAATGCAGAGGCATGTTCCAGTCAAGTTTTAAAGAATTATTTAGAAAAAAAAAACAGGCCAATAAAATCTACAGTTAAGAGATAGAGAATCAAATATTAATCTTGAATGCTTATGTTCCACTTCTTTTCTTTCTGCTGTACTTTTAAAAAGTACTCTAATGAGTAGAATTCAATTTTATATGAAAATTCTGAGTTACTATATTATCGAATGGGGAGAGGTAACAAATTACAGACTAGTGCAAAACAGTAGGACTCCCACATTCTCCAAAGTGCTTCCTGAATAATATTCAAAACTTGATATCTCATCAACTTGTGCAATGTTAGAATATTGTGTCTACAAACTTTCTTCTTTGTCTGCTTGGAGCCTCTAACCTGGAGGCTCAAAATTCAAACAACACTCTACAGAAAAATTCTACTGAAGCAGGTGATCATAGATCAGCATAGATCACCTGCCTCCTCCTCCTAGTATTGCACAACATAAAACCCACCAGCAAGTTGTAACCAGGTGCTGCCCTGTGGCCCTACTTGCCACATGGACCCTCATGGGTGGAACTTCATCAAAAGCTGCTCCCAAATCTGTCAACACAGTAAGCTGGTGGATGTCTGGGCAACCTTTCTCTCTGCACCATTTAAACAAGAAGAAGAAATGGAATTTAGATGTCACCCCCAAACACACAGTAGACAGAGGAACAAGTTAAAAACCAGTAGACTCTCAGTAGTTCATAGGAGTTCTGGGGCCTCCAATCTGCACTGCAGGAGTCAGGCCATTCCTTCTGCATGACGTTCCGATTGTTTGCCCAGTTTGAGTCATAAGGTGTCTCTGCTTCCAGCTGTGCTCTTCACTTACCGGCTGCTCCATCGGGTCAGGACAGGGAAAAGCTTCCACGCTGAGCTTAGGAGTCACCCCCGAGCGCCATCCTTCACCCCTGGGAAAGAAAGCTGTTCTCGATACTTTTAGTGCCATTCACTTAACAACTGATTACAGATATACATATTTTTTCATAAATAAAATTTGAAGCATATAAGTAATATATTAAAATCTTCACCAAGAAGGATGTGTTAAAAATTTCAAGTTCTGTCATTCAAGTTCAATAAAGGCACACATTACCATTTTTTCTCTTCAGGCCAGCAAATAATACGATTGCTACCCATTAGTCACAAAAGGTATTTTGTGGGACTATTTTTTATTCGATTTTCCTTTTCTTCGGATTTGCCTCATTTATCCGTGGCATGAATCTGTCGCCCTCCAGAAGTATTTAGATGCACAGAGAGTTTTACATGGATTCCACTGTTGCATCAGGTTTCAGAGTGACAAACCACAGCTGTCCTGGGTCAGACACTCAGATCTGCTTTCGCTGCTTCTCTTAAGGCTTCTCACTCCCAAATCGGGCTTTCCGGCTTCCAGGTTCCGATGCCCTCCAGACCAGCCGTGGTGGCGGCTTGGGCGGGATGCCTTCAGTCAAACTGTCTTCCCTCTCTGAGCCAGACTGGTCTTTAGAGAGAAGGGGCTGCTGTAGTAAGCCTGACGTCTGGGTGCCCTTTTCTCTGCTGTGGGGTGTTGGGGGGGTGCTGGGCATATCTCGGCCAGAATCAACATCTACCTCATTCTTCCATTCCATTTTATAGGACTGGGGGGATTTCTTGGAGAACTGTTCTGGCAAGAAGCGCCTGGCTCTGGGCTGCAAATTGAGCACGGTGGTCCCGGCATCTGCGTCTGAGTCGCTGCTATTGCCATCTATCACGGAGCAAAAGACAAGGTGGGCAAGCATTTTAGAGAGAAGGCATTGCAAGTAACTTCAGTACCTTAGTGAGTCAGGCAACTGATACGTCCTGGGGCTCTGGGGAGAGGGGAGGCTAGCAGGCTTATGCTAATTTTAGGTGAGTGGCCTTGTGCATCTTACATAACCCCTGGGAGCACCCATACCCACAGGTATATATTCATGCTAACTTTGAAGAACTTACTGTGTGCCAGGCACTGTCCTAAGTCCTTTCAAATGCATTAGCCCATTTTGTCTTCACAATCACCTACTTTACAGATGGGGTAACTAGGTTCAAGAGGTATTTGTAGATGGTGGAGCTGGGATTCCAACAGAGCCCCTCTGGCAGTAGCAGCTGTGCTCATCTGCCCCACAGTAATGATCCCAGGAGGGCTCAGCCTGGCATCTGGCACACAGTAGGCAGTCTGATAATCACCTGCTATGGAGAAGATTCTTGCCTTGATCTGGAACCTCAAACATGGTTTTGCTGATTTCCTTTACATTTCCACAAAAGGGCGAAAACCCTTTGCAAACAAAGGGAGGAGACAGCTTTGGAAGCAGATTCAGGTGCTAGAGTGCTACGGGTAGGGCAGTGAACAAAATGCTTGTCCAGGAGTTGAGATTCTTGGGAACTGAGAACATGTTTGCTGGTGGGACCACGGGCCACTGTTCTAAATATTCAGTGCTGCCTTGTCTTCCCCCTATTATTCTCACCTCACACTCCTTTACCACCAGCCATCATTTAGGTTTCCCTCTTCTCAGTTAATTAAATAAACAAGCAAAAAAAAAAAAATAAAAAAAGAGGGGTAATGATTTTTCCATCCCACATTTAAAGAAAATTTTATTTTAGATTCTAGGGGTACATGTGCAGATTTGTTACATGGGTATATTGCATGGTGCTAATGTTTGGGCTTGTAATAATCCCATCACCCAAGTAGTGAGCATAGTACCAATGGGTAATTTTTCAACCCTTGCCCCTTGCCCAGCTCCCTATCTCCCCTCTTTTGAAATCCCTAGTGTTTATTTTTCCCGCCTTTGTGTCCTGTGTATCTAATGTTTAGCTCACACTTGTAAGTGAAAATATATGGTATTTGGTTTTCTATTTCTGCATTAATTCCCTTAGACATCCCACATTTTAATAACATGAAATCCTAATATAGTTCTTCTGGGGTTCACAGACAATGGCTTCGGTGTCTACATAAAGATAACCATCACATTAAAAAGATATTAGACATTATAACAAAGCTTTATAGTTATAGCCAGAATAAATATATGGCTGCTTTCATGAAAATATATTAGAATTACTGTAAAAATTTAATTACTTAAACATTTGCAGACTTACAACTTTTTGTTTACCTGCCCTTGGGCCCCATGATGACAATATTTGCTGGAAAATAACTGATTGGATTCTTTAGAATCTGCACAGAATGCCATTCCAAAAGGTTGCAATGCGAATTAAAATTCACCCAGTTATTATTTTAGATTTGCAAACTCTTGAACTCATTCTTTTTTTTAAATTATTATTATACTTTAAGTTTTAGGGTACATGTGCACAATGTGCAGGTTTGTTACATATGTATACATGTGCCATGTTGGTGTGCTGCACCCATGAACTCGCCATTTACATTAGGTATATCTCCTAATGCTATCCCTCCCCACTCCCCCGACCCCACAACAGGCCCTGGCGTGTGATGTTCCCCTTCCTGTGTCCAAGTGTTCTCATTGGAACTCATTCTTTTTTTTTTTTTCTTTTTTTTTTTTTTTTTTTTTTGAGACGGAGTCTCGCTCTGTTGCCCAGGCCGGACTGCGGACTGCAATGGCGCAATCTCGGCTCACTGCAAGCTCCGCTTCCTGGGTTCACGCCATTCTCCTGCCTCAGCCTCCCGAGTAGCTGGGACTACAGGCGCCCGCCACCGCGCCCGGCTAATTTTTTGTATTTTCAGTAGAGACGGGGTTTCACCTTGTTAGCCAGGATGGTCTCGATCTCCTGACCTCGTGATCCACCCGCCTCGGCCTCCCAAAGTGCTGGGATTACAGGCGTGAGCCACCGCGCCCGGCCGGAACTCATTCTTAATGAAGAAAAATAATAGGAAAATTTGTCTAGTTTATAAACATTGGCAAATAAATTTAAAATTTTTCTGCTCCAACTATATTCACTACCTGCAATAGAAATAGTCCTCCTCTTTTGTAGCTTTTCTGGAAGCTTCGTATTTTTAGGTAAGGATAAATATCGGGAGGTTGAAGTGGAAGCCTGTAAAAGAAATATAAAATCTTACTTAAACTATACAAATGGCACTTATTGTATATTAAAGATTAAAAATTGTATAGCAAAACTTCATGTTAAAAATCAGAATTTTAATTTCTGATTCCAAAATTACTTTGTGAGGGGCTATAACTATTATAACTTGAAATAATTAAATCCCTTCCAGAATGGAATGGAGATCTCTACAAAGGGAAATAGGAATAAGTGGGAAATAAATTAGAAACAAATATGAAAACCACTGGGTCTTCTCAAAGAAAAGCTACTGAAACATCTATGTATAAAAGTACTGCCAGAAAGACTTAGAACCTACATGTATGGGGAAGAAGATATGTTTACAATATATATATGTAAGGTGTTTTTTTTTTCACTTTAATATATCTTAAAAATGATATTAATAGAACAAAAAGTATTACTACAGCTAATTTACTGGCATTTCAAATACCGCAGTCGCTAGTGTTTTAAATTAACTTTTAATTAACACTGCTACATTTTACACATAAAATAACTCCTTGTTCACATATAACCATTTTGATTTCTGACAACCCAATATAGGATATTATTAAAAATAAGCCTCAATTCTTGCTATGTGAAACCAATATATCACAATATTATTATTATTGTTATTATTGAGAAGGAGTCTCGCTCTGTCATCCAGGCTGGAGTGCAGTGGCCCAATCTCGGCTCACTGCAATCTCCACCTCCCAGGTTCAAGCGATTCTTCTGTCTCAGTCTCCCAAGAAGCTGGGATTACAAGCGCACGCCACCATATTCAGCTAATTTTTTTTTTGTATTTTAGTAGAGATGGGGTTTCACCGTGTTGCCCAGGCTGGTCTCGAACTCCTGAGCTCAGGCAATCCACCTGCCTCGGCTTCGGCTTCCCAAAGTGCTGGCATTTACAGGCATGAGCCACCACGACCGGCCCACGATATTGTTTTTAAATGGCTTTCCTTATCTATTGACAGTTCCTTGAACTAGTGGCAATGCTGGCCACAATACCTGTGAACACTCACTTCCCCCGGCCACCCCAGCCTTCCTGCAGCTCCTCAGAGAACTGTCAACAGCCACTTGATCTGCAGAGCTGATGATACCATCAGCTGATCAATGGAATAGCTGTCGGCTCCACCCCTGGAAGTCTCCTAGAGGCGCACACTCAGTTACCCTGTGTTCTCGATTCAAGCTGCTGTCCTTCCTAATGCTTTCTCGCAAACTGTGTCGCCGGCGAATCAGAATCTCCTTGGCTTGTCTCTCACTTGTGTCGGCTGTCAGACTGTGTCTGTTGTAGGATAAAGTCTGGAATGAAAACATATAGAGGACATTAAAAAACAAAAACAAAAACCTGATCATTTCCCCCAGAAATTCCAAGACTTTACCACATTTCTTTGGATCTGCACCTCAGCTAAGCACTTATAACTTCTGTGCAGAGCAAAAAATTAAATTAACAGTATAAAAGTTAACAGTCTTCAGATCTTCAAAGAATTTATATTTTCTTTTCATTTTGTGTTTTTTTATTTTTCTTTTTTTTAGAGTTGGGGTCTTGATCTGTCACTCAGGCTGGAATGCAGTGGCACTCATAACTCACTGCAGCCTCCAACTCCTGGGCTCAAGCAACTTTCCCACCTCAGCCTTCCAAGTTGTTATTACAGGTATGTGCCACATAGTTCATCCTTTAATAAAAGTCAGATCATAAGGTTTGTTTTTCATTGAAAAGTGTGATTTTCATAAATGAGAACAATGATTGATTTCATCAAGTGCCATGTCTACCTTGAAGCCTCTTGTAGGTATTTAGCCATCATGAATATCTGGAAATAAAATACAAGCCACCATCCTACAGTCTGTTTTGAATAGGAATTACTGACATTAAAAACAAACCACTTTGAGCCACTTGGTGGTGCCATGCCCTTCTGATTAACTTCAGCACATTCCCTTTTTTCAACTGGGTTGTTACATGAAGAGAGCTGGTGACACTCCCCACAATGATTACATCCCAGTGTTTGAAAAGTAAAATTTCTAAACTAGGGCTGTACATGGAATCCACTTTTAGTTTTATAGGCTATATAGAAATGTGTTTCCTAAATCATAAATAATAATTAAATTCATTTCTGATAGAATAAACATGTACTTCTTGGGAATATCCCTGTGTCCAGAAATATATTAGGTTCTATTGAGAGATGCAAACATAACACAGAACAAGGCTTCATTCCTGCCTTGAGCAGTTTACCATCTCACTGAGCATCTAAGGCTAACAAAATTATGCAAAATCATGGAAATAAGTGCTGTATCTACATGGTACAGTATAAGCTCCAAGTGCTATTCCATTTAACCACAAGGATGGGAATAATATGGTGGCTGTTGGGGGAGCCTTAAAAACTGGAGGCTTTTGACCAGCTGACAGGAAGGTGTGAGATGCTCCCAGGGGACAGCGAGAAAGCTACCTGGGCCAAAGAACGAAAACAGAACCTCTCACTCCCTGGGTGTTTCAGGGAGCAGATGGGTGAGGCAGATGTGGAAATATGGTTGGATAAAGTGGAACTTGGAAATAGAGTCCAAATTTTCAACGAATAGTTTAGCTTGGGAGCCACAACTAATGTTTTGTTTCATTTTAAATTAAAAGGTACTGTAGGAAAAAGGGTCAGGTAAGAGTCACGTGGATGAAATGGGGACACCTTATGGGGACACCAGCTAAGAAGCTGCTGAAACAGCCCCCACATGAGCAAGGAGGACTCCTGACAAGCTGTGTGGCCCGTGTGCCACTTCACCTCCCTGTGCCTCAATTTCTTTATCTGTGAAATGGCGACAACAGTAACACCTACCACTCACTGGAGGATTAAATGAGTTAATGCATGCAACACACTGAAATGGGGCTTGGAAAATTGAGGACACTCTCTACTCTGTAGCTGTGTTGTTAGCAAATTATTAGAATAAGGTGCTAACAATGGAAACGAAGTGAAAGAAGTGGCTCAGAAGAGAAGAAACTATAGCACTTTATAAATAACAAGGAGGGTGAGGTCCATTTTTAAAGTCTAAGCTATAAAACTATTTCTTTAAAACAAACAGCAATCAATTCATTTCTTTAAAATTAGTCAACGTGTATTTCTTTGTATCCAAGCCCACAGCAGCAGAACTCCCAGGGGACCCCAAGGCTTCAGCCATGGTGTCCAGGAGGATAGTAGGACCCTGAAGAGGGATGGAGAGAAGCAGAAGGAGAGAAGATGCCCAGCATGGGACCTGCTGAGCCCAGTGTCAAGATGCAGCCTCCAGTTACAGCACAAAACCAGAAGGCATCCTGTTAGCCAAAGGTAAGTAAATATTTTGCTACATAAATTATTCTTACTCGCTGACGGATTTGATAGAGATTTCTTGATAAGAGTTCTCGAATTTCATCAGTTTCACTGGACGTGACCTTCCTTATTTTTTCTTCACGACAATCACTGTGAAAGTTTAGAAAAAGAATATTTTACCTTTCAACAAATATTAGAATCATTGATTTTCTTCCTTAGAGATATAAGTATTTAAGACAAGTCTTAATTTGTAAAAATAGCACTTAGGGATTATTCAATAACTTAAAATAATTCCAAATTCTGTGACTCTTATTTCAGTTTCAAAATCATTCATGGCAAGTTTAACAATTCACAAGTTTTCAGAATCTATTCATGTCATTATGTTTTCAGGGAAGAAAAACTACAATGGCTTATAATGCTACCTCACTTTATTATTTCTAACACTCCATAAATAAAGTAAAATAGAATAGTTTTCTCCAACAGAAACCTAATTGACTTCAATTTACCATTAAGTTTTCATATTTTAAAAACCTCATCATAAATATTTGCAAACACACCATTTATAACATGTATGTATATCCAGTCAATCCTCATTTGTGGGTTCCATAATCATGAACTCACCTCACCTACTTGCTAATATTGATTTATAAACCCAATATCAGAATTTCAGTATTTTTGCAGTTATTCTCAGACATATGGAGAGTGACAAAAAATTTGAGTCACTTGACACAGTTTCCCTGAAGATGTTGAACAAGGAGACATCTGCTTTCTTGTTTCCACTCTCATACTATAAATAATGTCCTTCTCACAGTCTATTTAGTGACATGATTTTTTAATATTTTTATGTTATTTATTGGTGGTTCTGCTGCTTTAAATGGCCCCCAGGCATTGCTGAAGTGCTGTCTAGAGTTCCCAAGCACAAGAACCCTGTGATGTGCCTTATGGAGAAAATTTGTTAACTAAGCTTGATCATACATGAATTTATAGTGTTCTTGACCATCAATTCAATGTTAATGAATTAGCAATATATATTAAATAAGGTGTCTGTAAACATAAACATACATAAAATAGGTTACATATTGATTGGCTGATGAAAATTTTGTGACCACAGGCTCAAAGGAACCTAACCTTTATGTCCCCATAGAAAAATGATTCAGTATTTGCAGCTGGGCACAGTGGCTCATGCCTGTAATCCCAGCACTCTGGGAGGCCGAGGGGGGCGGATCAATTAATAATAATTTTTTTAAAATTATTATTACCAGTTTCAAAATACTATCAATGCCTATTTAACAATACTAACTTTTATTTGCAAGACCATACTTACTTTAGAGATGCAAATGTAGGGACAGTACTTATCATCCCAGTCTCTGCCATCTCAATGGCATGTTTTATTTCAAGCTTTTTATATAAAGATACAATACTTGACTTTGGTTGGTTTTCCCGAATCAAAAGCTTCCGCAGATATTTATCATCAAACTTCTTAAACCTGTAAATAAAGAAACTTTCAATAAATTAATACTGGATTGACTAAGAAAATAGTTGTTGTTTTTACCAATGAAGTCATTTCTGCCATTCCCAGGAAAATACTTAGTAGCAGCATTTAGCTAATCTGGTCATTTTATATATTTAGTATGTGCCTACCTGTATATATGTATATGTGTATGTGTATATATGTATATATGTGTATGCGTATGTATATGTATGTGTATGTATACATATGTATATATACATACACATACACATATATGTATATATGACACATACTGCTACATTTTTGTATATGACCCTGATGCACATAAATCTAGTATTCATTAATTACAGATTAAAATACATGTTTCTGTCTTTACCATTTCTCTACTTCTGCTTTTAGCGAAATTGCTCAGAAACGTTATCACTGTTTGTTTTCCCCAATTCCTCTCCTCTGATTCTCTCTTGAACATTCACATTGCCTCAATACTCCATTAAAGCTACTCTTATCAAAGTGGTCTGTGAACCTCATGATATAACTGCAGTGGGCAATTATGAATCCTCATCTTTCCTGCCCTCACTTGTGTAAACTATTGTCTTCATTTGGCTTCCAGGACACCACCCTGGGGTACCCCAACCTCCTTCTCACCCTCCCTCTCAGTTTTGTTTTCTTCTTTTGACCTGTTAATGTAGGAGTGCTCTGGGCCTCGGTTCTTAATCCTCTTTCATACCGCCACTCACTCCCGTCACCATCTTGCCCAGTCTCCTAGCTTTTAATAGCATCTCTATGCCAATGACCCCCAGATTTGTATCTCCAGCTCCAACCTCTCGGCCAAACCCCAGATATGAGCTTTTGGCTACTTACTCAACATCTGCAGTTGGATATCTATGGGGCATCCCAAATTTAACATATTCAAACTGAACTGATATTCTGCCAGAGTCCTCCCATCTCAGCAAACGATGACTCCACCAGGTCAAAAATCCTGGTGTCATCCTGGATTCTTCTACTTTTCTCATGTTCTATGTTATGGGCTGAATTGTGTCCCGCCAAAAATTCATATGTTAAAGTCTAATCCCCAGTAGCTCAGACTATGACCACATTTGAAGATCTAGTGTTTACAGAAGTGATTAAGTTGAGGCCATCAAAATGGGCCCAAATCCAAAATGACTGGTGTACTTATAAAAAGAAGAGGTTTGGATTCCAAAACATACAGAGAGAGGGAAGATGATGTGAAGAGGCAGGGAGAAGACAGCCATCTACAAGCCAAGCAGAGGGGCGTAGAACAGAACCTTCCCTCGTGGCCCTCAGAAGAAATGAGCCCTGCTGACACCTTGCTGTCTGACTTCTAGCCCCCAGGATTATGAGACAATTCATTTCTGTTGAGCCACTCAATCTGTGGTACTTTGGTTATGGCAGCCCTAGCAGACTAGTACTCCAAATCTTTGCGCCATCAGCAATTTCTGTTGGTTCCACATCAAAATACATACAAAATCCAGCCATCTCCCACCTCATCTAATGCTATCACCCAGGTCCAAGACATCATTCTCTCTCGGATTCTTGTAGTGAGCACCAAATTGGCATTCCTGCTTCCACCATTGCATTCCTACAGAAGCCCAAGTGCTCCCGTTAAAAATATGTCTAATGATGTAACTGTCCTGCATCTTCCTTGGGTACAAGTACAATGGTCTGTGACTTCCTACACAATCTGGATCTGGCCCTCTTGGTACTGTGCCCCTCTTCCTTAGCTGCAGCGTCACTGGTGTCCTTCCTATCTTAAAGACTTACCAGCAGTGCTCCCATGTCTGAGTCTTTATACTTACTATTCCTTCTACTAGGAATCCTTTTCCCCCAGATACCTTCAGGGCTCACTTTTTACACTTCTTTTAAGTCTTTCCTTGACAATCATTTTCTCACAAGTGCCCTTCCTATCCATCCTGTTAGAATTGCACACAACCTTCCTCCCCCAGCAGTCCCCATCTCGCTGCCCAGATGTATTTTTCCCCATAGTAGTTATCACTTTCTAGCATGACATACAATTTACTTGTCTTACTTTCTGTCTCCTAGCACAGAATGTAAGGTCTACATGGGCAGAGATTTTTTTTTCTGTGTCACCAGTGCCTGGCACACTGTAAGCACGTGTGGTAGAATGAATCATTTGGTCCCAAGTCCTCCCTGTATCCACACCCTCTGCCATATTACTTGGCAATGACCTTCCATCATGGCACAGATGACTTGCTTTGCCCTGTTCCTTGCCAGCGTGCTCAATAATGTTCCTTGCTTTGGTCAGTGGGCTATTAGCAGACACAATGAAAGAAACAGTGGCTTAACCTGGGCTTGCACATGGAGGCTTACCTCTTGTGCTTCAACAATCACTATTAGAAGGATATGCAGAGTGGCTCCTTAGTCCGAGGACAAAGGTGACTGTCACATGGAGCAGAGTCACCTCACTCCAATCACACCAGATAGATCTAGCCAGAATCAGCTGGCAGCCAGCCAACCCACTGGAGCACATGAACAAGCCTGGCCCCAACTGGCCAAGCCCAACCCCAATCAGCCTCTTGACTCATGCACTTTAATAATAATGACGTGTTCTGAGCAGCTGAGTTTTGGGGATGGTTTGTTATACAACATTATTATGCCAATACATAAGTGAAGCAGCATGCAATAAATATTTGTTGAGAAAGAAATAAGTGTACTACGTGATCACCACAAGCCCAAGGAGGTTTATAGACACACCTGTGCCGTGGAAGGAATCGATGTTAACCTACATTCTTGTTGATAGTCCTTTGTTCTAAATACTAGAGGGCTCTGAATAATTAAAGAAGAGCCATCCTGAATGTGCTTGGTTTTTGGCTGGCCACTACACTAAGGACTGGGTTTACTTTTCTCTACTTTTAATTGGAGTTTTATGTTAGGCCCATTGGACCAGGACTCCTGACAGCAACACATCTTTTAAAACTTCTTTTATTATTATTGTTGTTTTAGCTTTTCACTAGAGAGAGTAAAAGGAAGAACAAGCACCAAGAACAATGGCATCTGCTCTATTTCGTGTAGGGATAGTGCGTTTTCCTTGCTTCATTTCCACACCTTTCATTTCTCTGCTAAGCTACACATAGGCATTCTATTTCACCATCATTAGACTGCTTGTGCCAAGAGTGAGAAGGGTCCCTACTGTATCACCCTTCGTTTCATTCTCAAAGGATCAAATGCCTCAAGAATTCTCTGGCAGAACCACTGGAAATCCACAGCATAAGGATTCCAGAGAAAAGGGAAGACACCCAACATGCCTGAAACAATCGCTTCTTTTTGATGCTGATTTTTAGTAACATTAACAATCACCAAGGATGTGATCTCAGCAGAACACAGTTTTAAGAAGTCTTGTGTCAGCACCACATCCCCCCGCACCCACTTCCCTGCTCTACCTGTGATATACAGCATCTATGATGTCTATGACACTGTATATCATAGGTAGAGCAGGGAAGTAGGTGCGGGGGGATGTGGTGCTGAAACTTTGAAATTTTCCTGGAAAAAAAGTTGTGCGTGGAAATATATCAATACTTACAAAATTATTAAAATAAGTGTATCCACTGCAGTGGCAAATGCTAGCCATGTAACATTACCTTTCAGGCATGGAGCAAGGTTGGCTCTCCCATCTTTAGGACTTACAGCCAATTAATCTGGCAGCCTTTGGATGTGTGCTTAGGGCAGATTCATGGACTCCAGAGATAATGTCTCTGCCTGAAAGACAGACGTAGCCAGACTTTCTCTGACATTTCTTCTCCTGAGTTCCAGGCCAAACCCAAGTGACCACAGCATCTACCTCTTCTGACAGTGCCCCAGGACCAGGTGGCCTCATTACTGTGTGAGGCCGATCTATATTCCCCCATTTGGGAGGCAGAGGAGCACTAGATATCTTGAACCTAACACTCACTTTGGAAGGGGAACCAGCTGTTCTGGGTTACGCCTCTCATATGTCATTTCAGAAAAGTACTGAGGGGATGCTAGGGAAAGGGAGGATAGTAGTTGAGTTGAAAGGAACAAGGTAGGCAGAAAATAGGCATTACTATGAAAACAGTGGAGAAGAGAGGCAAAAAGTTCTGTTCTACTGGCTTAGCACAGATGGGGACTCCCTCATGCTAGGAATGTCCCAGAGTCATAGGGTAGATGTATAGGATCTCTGGTCTACCACCTGCCTCCAGAAAAGGGAATACTTCCCCTGAGAAATGGCCATTTAAAAAATAGTTTTACAATGGAGAATATAATTTGCTTAATTTTATTACCTTGTGTTCCCATGTAGCTAATTGGGCGTGCTCTCCATACAAACAAAATCTTTTTCCTTTCATTATATGGTAAGGCTGAGTCCCAGGGCCCTGTCTACAGTAGTAAACAGTGTTGTAAAGCTTGTAAAGGTTGTTCTAGCACTGAATGTCTTTGTCACTCATTATATTCCCTAATGGTCTCTCTCTCACACACCCATATATACACACACACAGGAGTCTGCTTGCTGTGTGACGGTTTTGTTGTGTCTGTGATACTACAGAATTTCAGAGGCCTGAGTCTATGGCTTATACTTCTTATGTAGCCCAATATTATGCCAGCATATATGAGCAAACAGGAAACACTAAAAAATTCCCTTGTGTTAAGTTGCAGACATTGGTAGGTTGGTCAATTTCATGTAAATTAGCAGTGGAGGGAAAAAAAATTCTGTTAGCAAGTTAGGAAAAATAAAACAAGAGGGATCTACCAAATATAGTTTAAAACGTGTTCTTCTGTCTTCAGGGATTAGCTTAAATGCTGCCTTCCAAAGTCTCGCCTAGCCAGTGATATGCTAATAAATGTTTAACAAATTTCTCTATGAAAAAAAAGGGCCTTGATTTGTAGCATTTGTCAGTTCCATGATATAAGCCCTGATTCAAGCAACCACTCTGGACAGTGCCAAATGTGCAGTCAGGAAGAGAGGTACGTGATGAGCTCCCACTAGCAAGTGGGGGCTGGCTCCTGTACCCCACTGCTCCTAGCTCTGCTGTCAGAATTGAACCAAATTTCTTGACCCATAATGCTGTTTCTCAGTTTATATTAAAGCATACATCTAATTCTGCCTGTCTGGTCTACCTTTTCCACTTCAACTTTAAGATCCTTGAAGACCAGTATTGAATTGTATTTATCCAACACAGAGCCTTTTACAGAATGGTAAACTCTGTGTGCCTGTAGGTATGTGCATTTATATAAATGTATGTAATTTTTCAGATAATTTTAGCTTTTTATATATATATTATATATATATATAATATATATATAATATATATATAATATATATTATATATATATACACGTTATTTCTGCTCATCTGTTTACATCCTTAGATGGTCTGAATCTCTGCATTTGACAAAGTCTCCCACCATGTGTGGCAAAATGGATAGTAATGGAAGCCCTAGTTTTCAGCCAAATAGATTGCATTCCTCAGCCTGCTTTGCAGACAGGAATGGCCATAGGACTGAGTCCAAGCCAATGATCAGAAGAATCATATGGCAGCTTCTGATGGTTTCAGTTAGAAGGCAGCTATTAATAACACATATGCTTTGTCTACTCATCATCTTTCATCCTTCTTGCTGCCTCTAATGGCTAATATTGATGCAGCCATTGTGGTTCAAGAGGCAACCTTGGAAATGAAGGCTACTCTTAGTGGATCGACTAGACAGACAGTCCTCGGACCCTGGGGGAGTCTTGGAGTAAACCTCATCTGTTAAACCTAAATTGCCTATCTCTGGCTATTTACAGAAGAGGGAAATAAGCTTTTACCTTGTTTAAGCTACTATTATTCCACATCTCTGTTATAGCTGAACTTTATCTTAGAGGACATACTATGGTACAACACAGGAAAGATTTCCAATTAAAAAATAATACAAATCAGTAAGTCCTGCTTTCAGAATGACCCTGGGCCACTTCATAACCCAATGGCATAAGACCTTCTTACTTGTCTCTCCAAAAGTTGTGACCCCAATGTCCACAAACATCTTCAATTCCAGTCTTCACATGATCAAACAACTAAAACAGAAAAAGCAGGCAAATTGATTAGTCTTTACCTGAAATCAATAATTTTCACTCTACTTGTATCATTTCTAAACTCCAAAGACCTTCATGGCTTTTGCTTCTTATTTGTTTATTATTTATTACCAAAAGCAATAAAACAGTTCATTTTCAAACAAACTGATGAAGTGTTTGTCACATCAGTATTAGGTAAGTCTTCGATTATTTTGCTCACCTATAAGTTTGTTAATAATTTTGAAAAGTATGAAATATGGTAATAATTTCCCAGTAGGAACATTTCCAGGCTAAAGGAAGTAAGAAGAGGGGACTTCTTGTCTCTCTACTCATGCAGGAGTTTAGTAAGCTAACCTGGAGAAGTTACCGTGGGGCCATATCTATTCTATACTCCCCCAGCAAATACCTTCTTCAGGCCCTCCTCCCTCTCACCCTGCCATTCCCTTCTTCTTCAGGAAATGGACAACGTGGTACCAAGCTGTTTGACTGATTCAAATATTTTTCCTTTATCATTAAAATTATTACACTCTCTTAACACCTACCCGACAATAGATTTCTTCACTGACAGCTTGTTGTTTCTTATTGGACCTCTTGACATCAAGAAACTCCACCAGTGGTCGAATAGTTATTCCCTGAACAGGAAACACAATTTAAGCATTTCATATATATTTATACAATTTATAAATTGTTTAATATAAAAATTTTAATATAAATTTTTTATAAACTACATTTTAATATTCAAGGGTAACTTCTCCTAAGCTTTGATAAGTAATGACAAAAGATATTTGGCTACCAAGATTTAACACAGTAAATGTAACTTTTTGTTAATTTTTCTTTCTTTTCAAATAGCTGGCATATTTTAAAAGGACCATGTCCTAACAAAAACAAAGACAAAATGGAAGAAGCAGAGAAAGTAATTACACAAAATAATAAAGTAGGCCAGATGCAGTGGGTTATGTCTGTAATCCCAGCACTTTGGGAGGCCGAGGTGGACAGATCACTTGGGGCCAGGAGTTCAAGATCAGCCTGGGCAACATAGTGAAACACCCTCTCTATCAAAATAATAATAATAGTAATAATAATAAAGTATTATCCAGTTCAGAGGAATCACCTACTTGTTGTATTATCCATAGAAAACTTATCAATGACTCCTTCATTTGTTCATTTATTAAAACGATTTTCACTGAGTTTCTACTGCACACATATCAGGGTCTTGGGCATTTGGAACCCAATGGTGAATAGTTAAGGACCTGGGTTCTAGGACTTTGCAGTCTTATACAAAGTCAGATACTTCCGAAAACAGTTACAAAGTAAGCAGAAGAGGGATGACAGGGCTAGCACAGGAAGCAGGTCAAGGAAAGCTTGGAGCAGAGGAGACACTGGTGGGCAGTGGTGGAGATGCTGGAAGCATATCCCAGTGGAGACCACAGCACAGCAAAGCACCGCAGTGAGAGGGGGCTTGCGGCCAGTCTGGGCACGTTCATGAGTGAACTCCGGAAATGTGGAGAACTATCAGCTCTTCAGTAAACTAGGAGGAGAAAAATTCCTTAATGTGACAAAGACATATGCCAGAAATCAATAGTGAACATATCACTTAAAAATGAAACATTATAAGCATTTCTATTAGAGCCAGAAATAACACAAGGATGCTCTGTCTGTCTCTGTTCAGCTCTCTGCCTCTCTTCAGCACAGTTCTGCATGTCCCAGTCAACTGAGAAGAATAGACAGATGAAGAGCTAGATGTATAAGTACTGAAAATGAAGTGACAAAGTTTCTGTTGCTCCTGGATGATTGAGTTTTTGTCCTAAAAAACCTGAAATAATATCTTTTCATTTAAAAATAACAAGAAAATTTGGTACAGTAACTAACACAAATTCAAAATGCCCAATCCATCCCAGATGTTAATTTTTAAATGAAACAGAATAAACACCTACAATAGCAATGAAAAAAACATATAAAAAGAGTGTGTGTGTGTATATATATATATATAAAATACTAGTATATACTAGTATCTAATAAGTATATGCTAGTATCTAATAACATGTTATATAATACACTAGTATTCTATATAGATACTAAATATGCATAGATATACTATCCATTATCTCTATATATGTATAAAACCCTATCATAAATGCATAAAACCTTTACAAGGAGAACTACACAATTTAACTGAAGAAGATTAAGGACATTTTGAGATATCAGGAAAAACACAATTCCTAGACAGGATAACAATATTGTAATGACAGTTTTCTCTCAACTAACATGTATCGACAACACAATTCCAGTGACATATTCCTGAAGACTTTTAACATAACTTGAGAGGCTGATTTTAAATCAACCTGGAAAAGTAAATGTAACCAGAAGATTTTAGAAAAAGGAGACTGAAAGGGAACTTACAGACATGAAAATGAACTGTCAGTAAATATACTTAAAGTAATGCATTACTGGCACAAAATAGGGCAGGTAAGGAGGGGGTGAGAGTCAAGATTCCCAAGTTTCTTGCTTGGTGGGCAGATGGCCACTACTTCCTGGCCTGCAGGAAGGATACATGGATAGGAAGGGTAGTTAGGATTTCAGGGACAGAGGGTAGCTATATAGGGGGATATTCCCTGCCATGCATTTGACTTTCATCTCATCTTTCCTCATGTCTTTCAGACTTTAAGAATGTTTTTGATAATGCAAACTGACTGAGACACACATACACATCCATTTTTTTAAAGGAGGTGATTGGCTTTTTTCCATCAGTCTAGCTCTGGGCATTTTTCAGCTTAACTTTCATTTTAACTTTCTGAAGTGTGAACTGATTTTGACCAAATTTGGTATAAAACACATCTTGTGTTCTATTTGTATTTCAGTCTGCTACTTTGAGATAACACAAAAGGTAATAGCAGTTTTCCAATCAACACATGTTCTGTAATTTCTAACTTATGTAAATGAAACGGGTGTAAACATGTGGTTCGCAGAGATGGGAGAATTCACTAAGTTCCAGATTCCATGAAGCCAGTAGTTTAATAATAGCTCAAGAAAAAGTTGACAAAATCAATGTAAATTTTAAAACTCTATAATGTGTTCTAAAGACACAAGCTGCTGTTTCACGTGCTCTTTTCCTATCAGTGTTCATTTAGTAAGTAATAGGTGAGTCACGAGTCTTTGTAAATACAGGACATAAAGATAGGACACAGGGCTTACCCCAGTCCATATGTTGATTCCTTCCACCCTACAGATGATCTAGAAGTGAATGCGCTACCATAAATAAATCACAACTCATCAACTCCAGGAAGCAAGTGTGGCCTACCACCCCATCAACTCAAGTTTTTGAAAGCATAATATATTTATGTTTATAATCATAAAGCTTATAGCAATATGTTTTTGTATATACAGTCCCTTTTAATCGTCGCCCTTTTTATCTTTGAATTGCCTGCAATAGTCATATCATGCTCAATAAGAATTATTTGATGAAAGCTGCCTTACTTATTCTCCCTCCCTTCTTACTTTCCTTCCTTCTTCAATCCATCTATTTTGCAGGCAGAGTATATGACATCTGTGTATGCCATATTAAGCCCCCAACATTGGATGTTATATTCTAGGAGCCTGGGTGTCTGGTTGGGAGGGAGAAAGAAACAACAAAGACCAAGAAAGCACCTTATTTTAACCACATTAGAAAATTTCTAATTTAGATCACCCAGGGAGTAACCCGATAAGGCTTAGAAAAATCAAAGAGCTTGCTACCATCCATACAGAATAAAAAAAATACAACCCTTAGTTTTTCATCAAACTACCAGTAGAAATATTTGCAAATACAAGTTAAATTTTCACCAGTTCATTCACTTTGGCATACATACTAAACACCACCTCTGAGGGTCAGGCCTGCCTGGGAGAATCATGTAACAGCAGGGGCAGGGAGAGGAACGGGGAGAATTATTGGTTTTGCATCTTGTTCCATCTCTGCTTTCCTCCCACCTGGCATCCCCCAGCTCCCATTTATATCAGAGGGGAAAACAAACAAACAAAAATTATACAACTGCGATGTGAGTGTCATGAGCATTCTTTTCATCTTTTTTTTTTTTTTTTTTTGAAGAAAATGAGTTCTTGTTTTGTGTTGCTTTTTGGAATTAATATTTGCAAAATAAAAAGGATGTGGGAGAGAGAAACTTATATTTCCTTGCTGATTATCAGGTAATTTCCAGAAAAACTTATAGAAACGATTTTCATGTATTAAAAAATATCACTATCGCTGCTATGCTGTCTTATGGAAGGTCTTTCTCACATCACACACTTGGTCACAGAGATCATAAATGCAGTTGTGCAAACAGTGTTTATCTTAGAATGGGATAGGTGGAGTGAGAAGCATTAAAGCATTGCAGTAGCTGTTCACAGTCCCCATCTGTGTGTCTCTCTTTTAGCACTTTCCATGCTGCACACTGATTTCCCCTTCTATGTCTGTCCGTCTCTCCCCTATACTCCAGCTTTCTCTTTGCTGATCAGGGTTTCCCCCTCTCCTGTACCATCAGTCTCCAAACGTGCTCCCATCTTCGAAAATCAGAAACAAAAACCATCCTGTGACAGATATCCACCTCTGGCCACCACCTCCTTTCTCTAAGAAACCTAAGAGAGTTGCCCATATCTCCTGCCCCTCATTTCTCTGTTCCCCTCCCCTCTCGAATCCAGCCAGTTGGGGTTTTGTTCTCCTCACTGACCCAAAGTGCTCTTGTGCAGAGGCCACTCATCACGGCGTCACTACATCCAAGACTGCACTCTCCACTCACACTTTTTCTGACCTTGCAGCTGTATTTGTCACAGTTGCTAGAGGCCTCTTCTCTCCTTCCTGTGTAACCCCTTCTGATGTTTCGCCTCCTTTAGTGTTCACCCTTTCCGGCCTCCTGGGCTGATTCCTCAACCTTTTCTTGATTTCTAAATATTGCTATGTTTCAGGGTTCAGTTGTCAGATGCCTTCTTTTCTGTATTCTTTCTATGTTTATACCCTCAATAATTCCAGACTTATGTGTGTTAAAAACCATATATTGAGGAATCCCAAATTTACATCTCCCACTCTGGCTTCTCCCCCAAATTCCAGACTCATATATATGTGTGTATATATACATATATATATAACTGCCTATCCAACATCTCCACTTAGATGTCTAATAGGCAAATATATATGTCCAAAATGGACACATCCAAAACTGAGCACATGATGTCCCATCCTTCAAACCTAATACTCTCCAGGTAGTCCCCACCAAATTAAATGTCACCTTCATTCCCCTGGCTGCGCAGTCAAAAACACATGGAACTGTCTTATACTGCTCTTCTTCTCATATCCTAAACTTTTCACCTACATTGTTCCATCTTAAAAAAGCCTGATCATCTTGCTCGTTTTATTGTAGGATTGTTGTAAAGTATTCTAAATTCTATGGAACCCCACCTAATAATGGCATATGTTAATGAAATATAAAGATGGTGTCCTTTTTAAACAGTACATATATAAAAATATGACCATTTATTTGACAAATGAAGGCACATTTGAGGGTCTTCACAAGGTCTATAAAATAGTGAGCATCATCATTCCAGTTGGAGAGGCTAAATCAGCAAAGATTCATGTAATTGCTGGGAGAGGCTACCCCACCATGGGCCCTAAGCACCCCAACATGTTCTTGCAGGGGATGCCAAGAATGTCAGGCCTTGATGACTTTTTTACCTGGAGCATTTCTTAGGGTTGCAAGCAATGAGCACTCTTGAGAAATGAAGTAAGGTCACCCTTCTGAGAGAGCAATATATCCCCAAACTCAAATATATCCCCCTCCTGCAATACAGCCCATGACATGGGCAGACATCCATCGCGGGTCCCTTGTGTCACCCCCATGGGACAAGGAGGTGTGGAAAACTGACACAAACCAACACAAGGCTGTGGCTACAGCTCTTGTCATGGACAATAAAGTCCTTTGTCTCTGACTCAGGAGTCTTCTGTAGCATTCATGAAATAGTAACAGGCGAACTTGTTAGCTTACAAGTATAATAAAACCCCAGATGCTTCGCAGTTCTGCACCGTGACTTAACCTAAGTTACATCACTAATGTGCAAAAGAGGCTGCTATCTCTTGAATTTTGGTTAACTTTCCCACTTGATGGACTTCTAGATAACCACTTAGTACGTTTACAGAATTCTTGAGATCTGCCCCTTTTTATTATAGGGATTAACTACATAATAATTATTGTATTCTAATCATTTTTCCTTCCAAAGAAAAATATATTGAAAGAACTTACCTTTTTCTTTCTTTCGTTACAAGTTTTCTTTCTTTTTTTGTTTGTTTGTTTGTTTTGAGACAGAGTCTTGCTCTGTCGCCAGGCTGGAGTGCAGTGGCAAAATCTCGGCTCACTGCAACCTCTGACTCCCTGGTTCAAGCGATTCTCCTGCCTCAGCCTCCCGAGTAGCTGGGATTATAGGCACGTGCCACCATGCCCAGCTAATTTTTGTAGTTTTAGTAGAGACAGGGTTTCACCATGTTGGCCAGAATGGTCTTGATCTCCTGACCTCGTGATCCACCCGCCTTGGCCTCCCAAAGTGCTGGAATTACAGGCGTGAGCCACTGCACATGGCCTCGTTATAATTTTTCTTAATGTAGTATATTAAACATGGCAACTCGTGAGGCAAAAACCCTGTGTCAGGTGTCATACTCTATACACATATTTCCCCTGAGCTGCCTGGAGCATTGTCTAGATTTTACAGCTAAGTAAACTGAGGCCCACAGAGGCTGCAAAAAGCAGGCTTAGAGTATCAACCCACAATAGTCTTACTCTAAAACTGCACTTTATGTAACTGTATTTCACCCTCCCCAATTTTGAATATAATTTACATGTATGAGAAATAGCTTATATTTGATATAAATAACATTACCAATCATATTGGAAAAAAATGAACTCAAATGTCCAAGGAATCAGAATTGTTTCCTCATTCAATATTCCACGGCCGGGCATGGTGGTGCTCGCGCTTGTAATCCCAGCTCTTTGGGAGGCCAAGGTGGGTGCATTACTTGAGGCCAGGAATTCAAGACCAGCCTGGCGAACACAGCGAAACCGCATCTCTACTAAAAATATAAAAATTAGCTGGGCGTGATGGTGGATTTCTGTAATCCCAGCTACTCAGGGAGGCTGAGGCAGGAGAATCGCTGGAACCTAGGAGGCAGAGGTTGCAGTGAGCCAAGATCGTGCCACTGCACTCCAGCCTAGGTGACAGAGTGACACTCTGTCTCAAAAAAAAAAAAATTCCCCAAACAGCACCATATTCTGACAACATGATAGTGTGCCTCATAAAGGGACTACATCGCTTGCTAAGAAGCAACACGATTCAAACAATGTGAAAATTCTCATGATAAACTATGATATCAAATAATGCATCATACATCATGTGAAATCCTATTTTTGAAGATAGTTATAACTCAGTAGTACCAGGTTGGAAGAGCTTATCATATAAAATATTGAAATAAGGGGAGAAAAACATATTTAAAGTTTAGTAATTGGTCCATCAACATAAAAGTCATCGTTTGAAAAAGAATACATAATTCTTACTTGAAAGGCAATATTTTATGCATGGATGTATAATTAGTTATTCCTGCTATATTTATATCTCATCAAGTATTTCCCTCCAGGCTTCCTTCACTGAATTCCTTAATTATTGATGTATTCTGGAAAAGATATCTTTTCTGAAGGGAGTATGTGTGTATTTGTGTGTGTGGGTGCATGCACGCTTGTGCACGTGTGTGTGTTCAGAGTATCTTAAGAACCAGTGGTAGGTAGGAGAATAGGAGGAAGAGGAAGTGGTCAGAGTCATGGAACCAAGCAATATGCACGCAGTCTCCGATCTGTGCACACAGAAGGGTAGGCAGAGAAAAGGAAAAAGAAGATATCAACACAAGTGGAACCGCAGCAATTTCTCTTCTCTGTGGATATCCAAGTGAACTTGGCCAGACTCTCGTTTAACCTAATAAGAGGAAAGACTGCCATCTCTACACCTGCGGGCTCTAAACAATGATCCCCAGATGTCTCCCTCAGTGGAGGATTAGCTTGATGTGTTCACAATACCAAATTCGGCTAATACATCTCAACTGTGCTGTTTGTTGCTTCAGGCTTTCTCCTTTTCTATCATGGCCTTTAACCACCTTCATCTCTCTCCTCCCATCTATCCTCCTCCTGTCCTCTTTATACTCAGGGAAAGCCATGCTCCTACATCACTGAGAACAGGTGATCCACCTCACATGAACTTCCCCACTTCCAGCCTCCCCTGTCCTCACAAGCTCTCTGACATTCCACACAACACAAGAGTTAGCAGTCATCCTTCGACTGATCCTCTGCCCTGCTTTGGCTCACTTCTCACATAAAGTCTCATTGAAGAGTCTTCCAAAATAAAGAGGGCTGCATCTGCTTTTTCTCAGCTCTGCCACTACTTCCCAAGGGCAAGTCATCACCATTTCTGGCCCATATTACTGCGCGAAAGCAGAAAGGTGTTGATAATAAAGACAGTAACAGAAGGTGGTCATCTTAACTCAGGAAAGGGTCTTCTTCAGGATTCCAGAGAACTCAGTGTCCTCAGTGTTGGAAGGCATGAATGAATGAAGGATGAACTGTCTTTTGAAGAAATGACTAGAAGGAAGGAGGAAAATCGTGATGCATTACAATACTGAGCACTCGCTACACACCAGGCTCTCTCCTGGACACCTTATTCAGGGTCAAAAGCAAATAGATTTTGACTCTGCTTTACATTTTAGTATCTGTGCAAATTTGGTAAACTTACTTAGCCTCAGTTTCAGTGCCCCACTTTCCTCTTCCACAAAATAGGGATAATAAACCATGATTCCTAGAGTTATGTGCCATGGAATTGTTATGAGGGTTAAATGAATTAACATGTAAGATGCTCAGATTTGCATCAGGTACCTAGAAAGCATTCTGTGACTAACTTTTAAATAAATATGAATAAATTTTTAAAACACACGCACATCTCCTGATCTTCCTCCTTTTTTACCGATCGCTCATTCTTAGTTCTTCTTGGCTGCTCCCTTCTTCCCACGATATCTTAAGGTGGGGCCGCCCCAAGGCTCAATCCTTACTCCTCTATTGCAGCCTCTTCAATGTATATTTTCACTCCCTTCACAATCATATCCAGCTCATGGCTTCAAATACCAATTCTCTGCTAGTGGCCAGAGAGCCTCTTTCCTGAGCTCCAGACTCATAATATCTGCCTCATCCGTATCTCCACTGTAGGTCTAATGGACACCCCTAATGCAGCATGCCCGTCATTGAACTGACAGTCTCCCCACCCCCACCTCTGCCATGCACAGACTTCCCCTTCTCACTTGAGGGCAAGTCCATCCTTCTAGCTGCTCAGGCCAAAACCCCTGGAGTCATGAGTGATGCCTCTTTCCCTCACAACATGTCTAATCCATCAGGGAATCCCATAGGTTGCTCCATCAGAATGTATTCTAGGATCTTACCACTTCTCACCAACTGAACTTCCACCAGTTTTGTCCTCCCTAATGACTGCAGGGCTTCCATGCTGGATTCCAACATTCACCCTTTCCTCGCAACAGTCTATTCTCAACACAGTGGCCAGTATGATCCTTTTACAAAGGACGTGAGAACATATCAGGGATCTGCATGACACTCTCTAATGGCTTCCATTTCACTTGAAGAAGCGCCAAGCTTCATACACTGGGCTGCATGGCCCTGCATGATGTAGGACTCCAGACCCTGCTTCGCCTCATTCTCCTACACTCCACACCACACTCTGTGCCACTCCAGCCACACTGGCCAAGAGCACACTGCCTTCAGAACACACTTGATCCCTCAGCCCATTTGCCTGGGATGTTCTTGGGCTTAGCTAATTCCTCCACCTCCTGCATGTCTTTGCTCAAATCTCATTTTTCTCGCTGTTCCCTTTCATGACCATTTGATGTTGGAATTGTAACATTTCCCCCACGACTTTACCCTTACCATGCTTGACTCCTTACTCTATCCTTATTGCATAACATTTTCCACCTTCTAACATGCTCTATGATTTACTTGTGTTTCTTGTTTAGTGCTACCAACCCCTCTGAAATGTAAGCTCTGCAGCAGGGACAGGGATCTTTTTATGTTCTGGCTCCTAGAGCACTGCCTGGCACTTAGCAGGAGTCCAGGAAATATTTGATAAATGAATATCTGCAAAATATAATCTTCTAAGAGTTGGCATCTTAACTTAAAGATATTGATTAACTTGCAAAGTAGGGATCTGGACACAGGTCCACCACATTTTCTGCCTCCCAATATTAAACGTGCATTCATCCATTCCTCATTTAGGGGAGTCACCGCGAGGCAGTCAACTCATGTCAAATAGCTGTTGGAAGGTCATATGCACAACTAGCATTTAACAAGTGCATTCACTAAGTCAGAAAAATAATAAGCATTAGCAAGTGCAGTTCCTGTTTCCAGTCATAAGATTAGAGCGCTTAGTTTAGTTTCCTTAAATAATAATTTCTCTGTGTAGGCCAAGTGACCAAATTGGACTCTCTGAGGCCCCTCAACAATCTAGTGACATGAACCCAGACAGGAAATATCATTTTCCCTAGTAATTAACTACCAAAGTTTCAACACACCTTTGCTACTTTGCATCCTGTAAACAGAATCCAATATTCTGAACGATATTTTTTACCCTCCTGGTAAAGGGATCACTCTACTTACCAGAATGAAGACAGTAAAGAATATGACAACAATGGCAGCCGTAATAAACAATTTTTTCCGAGGAAACACAGCAGCAGGAAGGAGAAACACTAACGCAAAACAGATGGCACCTCGAAGTCCTCCATAGGCAATGATGAACTGGTCCTTAAAGGTCAGGGGAATGGTCCGGAACCTATTAATGACCTGAGTCAGGACAAAAACACCTGCAAAGAAAGAAAACCCAAGAGGAAACAGACTGGGTGAGGCCAAAATATGAAAATACATAGACTCATTTTCTGTGCTTCTGCGATGGGGACAAAGGATTTAAGAATAGGCCCCAAAGTCTTTCCCCTTTTTCTCTGTCTTGCTAGTAATACCAGGTTCTGGGCCTTTGATGTTGTTTCAGGATTGTGGGTGAAAATGTGAAATCAGAGAAGACAAGACAAACTAATCTGACTTATAACAAAGCCATGAAGATACTCAGAGAAGAAAAGAATATATCAGGAAGGGGCGGGAAGAGCAAGAGACAGAGAAGATGAAGAGGGCGATGAGGAAGGAAAGGGGAAGAGGAAGAGGCAGAGGAAGGTGAGAAGGAAGAGGAGGAGAAAGAGAAACAGGAGGATGGAGGATGAGGAAGAAGATAATAGGGAAGAGGAGGAAGGAAATGAGAAAGGATAAGAAAAGGAGGAAGAGGAGGATATAGGAGAGAAAAAAGTAAAGGAGGAAGAGGAAGAAGAGGAGGAAGACGTAGGTAAGAAAGAAGAAGAAATTAAGCAGACATAAAAGAATCCACAACAGCAGAAAGGGAATGACAAAAGGAAAGCCCCATTCAATTAGTGAGTGTTACATATGTCCAGTTAGCAAACAAGCACTCATTACCCAGGGCTCGCCACATGAGGCAGAAGGCCAGGGTGAAGCAGACGAAGGCCCAGTTCCACTCGTGGTTCTTGCCCACGGTAGACACACCCATGAAGATGAAGATCAAGGTTTCGCTGACACTGCTCAGCATCTTCATGAAGTACTTGATGGTCGTGTAGGATTTCTGAGATACATTTTCTTCTACGTACTTATTCATAGTCATTGCACAAGCAGTGATTCTGAAAGGGAAGATTCAGCTTCTATTGAAACCTAACAATGATCTTAATCAGAATGCAAGAGATAGCACTTAAGAGCTAAATTATGGCTCTACTCTTCTGCCCAAGACTACAACATCATCGAATGATTTTTATAGGTGAATGTGATTTGCATGCAAACCTCGGAAATCCTGCAATCTCCGGAGGTCTTCTTTAGCAACCCTGGCTGAACTACCCGGCTCTGCCCAGCATTCTGGTCCCTCAATTCCCTTACCCCAGATTCACACTTAAAGGTCTATGGACGTCGACACCATCAGCTCTCCTTTCTGTATCTCAAATAAAACAAGTCCAAAATAAATTTGAAACTCATTATCTTTCTGTAAACTGATTTATTTTCCCACATATGCCCTGTTCCTCTATTATCTAAAAGGATTCTATTGTATAAAATCCTAAACTTGAAAATGGGCTTGCATTAGACTTCTCTCCCTGTCACATCTTAGTAGCCCCCCTGCCATATAATTGGTCAACAACTGTTTTCGATTCTTCATCCTGAATATCTCTTAGACCCACTCACTTCTTTTTATCCTTAGTTCTGAGTCTCATATCTATGTATCTATTGTATCCACTTCTGGGAAATTCAAAAGGTTTTAACAGGTTCTGAGAATTCCTAAAGCAAAGAAACTCTTTGGCTTATTCTTCCAAGTATTTCCAAAACTTTGGGACCACAGAGTCCTTTATTCCCACTCTCATGATATCTACTGGAATATGGCACCTGGAGAAAAGGAAGGGCTCCAGGGTCAAGTCCACACTCCTGAAGCTCTTCACACACTTCCCTCAGTGGAGAATTCCAGTTTCACATCTGCCCTCTCTCCACCCCGGCACACACCATGTGCCTCCGCTGTATGGAATTGCCCAACCTGAACTTGTTCTTTACTGTCTTCTTGCCTTACTACACACATGGGTTCCTCTCTGTCTAGGATGCTACACCTCATCAACTCAGATGCCACCCACAGAGGAGAATTTAGGATGAGCTTGGTGACAGCTCATGGTAGGTCCGGTCTAAGGAGACACGGTTACTATGAAGTATCAAAAGAATTTCATTACGAAGGTCCTGTAGAATGAAACAGGAGGATGGGATTAGAGGGAGCCACCCTGCCTTCCACTCAGTGGTAACCATGCCATAAGCTGAATACTGGTCATGATCTGCAAAGTTTCCAGCATTCTCGTAACTCCACCAGTACAGTGACCCTAGCTTAGCTCCCTCTACTCCCATCATGTGGTCCTCCTCACTCGGAGAAGACTTCTGCTGTCTTAAGGAAATCCTCTTACTGTGAGCATCAGAATAGGTAGAAGAATGCAAACCTAAGCATCCTCTAAAACCTAAACAGGTCACCACGAACACGTCTCATTGCAAGTAACATATCTGTTGTTCACATAGAAAACAAAGGCAGGTATGTTTATTTTTGTGCCCCTTATTAAAACAAAATGAAGACTTCATCAATCTAAGGACCACACACTGAGCTACCATGTCACTGTCCCCAGAATAAGTGGGTATTTCTTTTAGATTTCTATAAGTGAAGAATGCATAATTTATTGGTTTCCCAAAAGAAGGAATGGCCTTATTAAATGTGCTAATAAAATTCAACAGCTATAAACACATGGCAAAGCCTTTGAATAGTTGAGGACTCATATAAAAACAGTCAATCTTCACAGCACCTTTACTTTGTGCCAGGCATGAATGGATTATGTCAGTTAAACCTTATAACAAGTTTATGAGCAAGTTCTATTATCATTCCTATGCTTATAAATGGGAGAACAAAGGCAGACAGAGGTTCAATTATGTAAGATTCCAGTGCTAATAAATGGTGGTGCCAGGGTATGAATCTGGGCAGTTTGATTTAAAGACAGTACTGGGCCGGGCATGGTGGCTCACACCTGTCATCCCAGCAGTTTGGGAGGCCAAGGCAGGAGGATTGCTTGGGCCCAGGCGTTTAAGTCCAGCTATGCAAAATGAGACCTCATCTCTACAAAAACAAAGCCAGCACTGTGGAAGACTTAATCCTCACCCTTTCCAAGTTCTTAATGAGCCCTACGATCTCTGATGGGAAGGAGGTCTTCCCTGCCCACCAAGCTGTGGCTTATCCTTTCTCAAGCACAAGCCTGTTTGTATCCATCTCCTATGGCTGCTGTAAGAAATAACCACAAACTGAGTGGCTTCAAACAATGCAGATTTCCATCTTGCACTTCCAGAGGTCAGAAGTCCAAAATCACATTAGTGGGCTAACATCAAGGTGGTGACAAAGCTTTTTCCTTCTGGAGGCTCTAGGGGAGAATCTGTCCCCTGCCTTCTCTAGTTTCTAGAGGCCCCCCTGCATTCCTTGGCTCGTGCCACGTCCCTCTGACCTCTGCTTCCCTAATCACATCTTCTCTGAGTCTGACTCTCCTACGCCCTCTCATAAGGGCTCTTATGATTATATCAAGGCCACCCAGATATTCTAATGGAATCTCCCCATCTCAGGATTTTCACCTAATCACATCCACAAAGTCTCTTTGGCCATAGAAGGTAACATATTAGCAGGTTCCAGGGATTAGGATGTGGACATCTTTGGGGACATCTTTGAGGCCATTTTTCAACCCTTTCAGGTTGCATTCTCCTCCCCTAAACTGTATCCTGAACCAAGTGCATGGCCCGGATGAGCATGGCCTCTGCTGCTTGCATGCAGTTGGGTGACAGAAGCTAGCAGGAGCTCTGTCACACTGACTTGACGTGAAATCCTGGAACCTCCTCCAGCAGGCAATAGGAACTGGGAGAACAGCCTGGAAAGTGGCATCTGTCTCAGTAAGCCAATATCGGGCATCTCGCCAGCACTCCCCCAGATATAAATCACTGGTTACCCGCATTTCTGAAAATCTTCATCTTTCATATTTTGGCTTAATTTTTGTTTAACTAGACTTTAAAAAGTAAGATTTCTCCAATACAAAGTATCAAGGGCAATAGATTAGATTAAGAATCTGAATTATAACATGTTTTATATATATAAAAAAAGACATGTATACAGAAACACACACTAATAAGCCTTTCAAAAATGTTGCTTTTTTAGGTACTTCATGTAGTGGAAAAAAAAATGTTGCCAAGTAGAAAATTTGTAATAAAACTAATTTATAATGGACATATATTTTTTAATTCTCTAATCCTATACAAAAGATACTTCAAAAGGGTTTTATTATAAAGCACTTTAACTTATAGACAAATATGGAAAGACATGAACACCAAAGTACCCACTACCCAGCCTTCTCCAGTCACTTGTATTTGTTAAAACAAAATGTCATCTATAGAGTGGAAACATCAGCAATAAAGTTGACTTCTCATATTCACCCCATTCCCTTCTCTCCCTCTTGAGTTGATTTTTTTGAATCATTCAAAAATGTAACTTTAAAAGGTTGATGAATAGTGTTTCTCTAAATGTTCTAAACATTTCCCTCTGAAATTATGTTCATATCATTCACTGGGAAAAAAGTAAACCATACAGGCAAAAAGTAATCTCCAGTTTATTACATGAGCAATTTAACAATTTCTATTTAGAAACAATTAAAATATAGCTTTGGTGGCTGGGCGCAGTGGCTCACGCCTGTAGTCCCAACACTTTGGGAGGCCGAGGTGGGCGGATCACGAGGTGGGGAGATCAAGACCATCCTGGCTAACATGGTGAAACCCTGTCTACTAAAAATAAAAAAATTAGCTGGGTGTGGTGGCGGACACCTGTAGTCCCAGCTACTTGGGAGGCTGAGGCAGAAGAATGGCGTGAACCCGGGAGGCAGAGCTTGCAGTGAGCTGAGATCGCGCCACTGCACTCCAGCCTGGGCAACCGAGCAAGACTCCATCTCAAAAAAAAAAAAAATTATATATATATATAGCTTTGGTGTAGGAATAAAACATGAATTAATTTAACATGAATGTCCATGGGATCATTTTCCATTGCTTTGTATCCTTAACACGATACCAAGAGTGATGCTTACAGTAGCCAGACACCTTGCTGTAACTCAGTGAAGTTTCCTACCAGCCTCAGTGAGACACTGAACAGGAAGAAAGAACGCCCTGGGTGGGTACCACAGACCCTAGTATCTGGTAGTGTCCTGTTCAGGGAGTGTGTGCATGTCTGTGGCACTGAGGCACCTGAGGGGCTGGAGGAAACATTCCTAAAGTTCCCATTCTGGTCTGCCATGTACAACCTGAGTCACCTGGCCTCTCAAGCAAAGGTCCGGGGCTGTTTTTACTGCAAAGAGATTTTTTTGTTGCAGTGTACTCTGACCTGAAGTCAAACCACCTCACCTTCAAAAATATCAGAAGTAAACACACTACAAATGAGCTAGTCTCCCTTCCACTAGAGAGGTACAGGCAAAACAGCCTCTTAGGGATAGAAAGAATGAAACCATCTCTGCCCACTCCGCCAGGTCATCTTCTAGAGCTGATAGTCATCACCATCACAGTATATACATATGAGTCTCCATTTCTCTAAAAGAATCACAAGAAACTTACAGAGCTGGCAAATGATGCAAGATAGTACCGGACTGTCCTTGGCCTTACTGAAGTATATGGCCAGGAGAGTCCTTGGGTACAATGTCACGTCACAGCATTATCACAGTGCCACCACACTATCAAGAGATAAGATTTCTTCCTCCATCACATGAACACATGAGGATTTCATGACCGGAGTCCACAGCCTCACGTCCTCATTCTGTGTCATCAGTATGACATTGTCCCCAACAAAATAATAACCTAAATAGATTCTTTATATTATAGAAAATTCTGGTTAAGTTTCTTAATTCTAAAGCTTCAAAATAAAACTATTGGCCTTCAATATTCCTAGTACATCCTTACTTTTATTAGCTCATGTCATTGAATTATCCTTCCCCCCCCTTTTCATGCATGTCTCTCTCTCTCTGTTTTTTTTTTTTAATTTTCCATACCTAGTTAATGTGATTGTGAAGTGCAATTTAACATCAACCAACATTTTCTGAGCACCCATTCTGAGGCAAATTCTGTGCTGGGATCTAGGAAGATGAAAGCAAGTAAGACCCAATTTCTGCCTTCAAGAGTTCTTCTAAGGGAAGAAACAGACACAAAGAGATCATCGGAACACAACACTGTACGTGCTAGAATGAGGGAAGGGAAGATACTATAGAAGTGCAGGAAAGCAAAGGGTGACTTATGCCACAAAAGAGGACATTTGAGCAACACCTTCATGGATAAGCTCACCTATCAGGAAAAAGAGGAAGTGAGTAATTCAGGGAAAAGCAGCAGCCATATGCAAAGGCATAAAAGAAATAAACAGGGTGGTGCATTCAGGAATCTGCCAAATGATTCTGTTAGCTGGAGGAGGGGAAGATGAAAATGTTAAGAGATGAGGAAGGATGAAAGAAGTTAGGGCTCAATGACACTGTTATACTTAATGCTTAGGAGTTTTAACTTTATAGGCTGGAGAGAAAAATGAGAAATTATAATTTCAATCACATAATTAATGTCTATCTCCCCAACCAAACTGGATGCTCCATGAGGAAAAAGAAAAGTGTTGCCAATGCTTAGCATAGTGTCTGGCATGTATTTTGCATCATTGACTACATGGATGAGTCATTAATAGGAATGGTGGTGCAATATGAATATATTTTCTCTATATCCATTGCCCATTTCGCATTCCAAAGCATGCCCAGATTTTGATAGGTCTTAGGCTCCATTCTGTAGGACAGAGTGGAGATGAGGCATGCACAAAATTCGCAGATGCAGCCTGCTATGTTATTATCTTGCCCCACTTTAACATAAATGTGTGGTGATTATCACCAATTTAGAGACAGAGAAGGGAGAGCACTATAATTAGTGGTTTTCACTTACACCAGCAACTGAGGTTTTCTTTATCAGTATATCAATCAAAATACAGTGTAGGACAATTCAGGCCAGCTATAGACACTACCTCAAAAGAGTTTTTTTTTTCCCCCTGGGGAGGGTGGGTGGAAATAGACTTTCCTTTCTACTTAAATGATTTGTCATTTGACTATTTTCTGAATAGAAAATTCTAACAGATACTTTTTCCTCTGTATTACTCCATGACTCCATTATTAACCTGCTTTCTATAGATATTTATTTCTTTTCTACCAGAATGTGTGCTTTGAGACTATGGACTAATGCTTAGCATGGTCTGTGCCTATAGTGGTACCAAGTACAAGTTCAATTAATGCTTGTTAAGTCTAGTTTAATGAAGATCCAGAGTGCTTTATCTACAATCTGAACTGTGTAGAATTAACCAATTAAGCAAAATTCTTTTGCTCCCATTCCATATGATTTTAAAAAGTATGAATTCAATTGCAGGAAAGTATCACCCAAATAATATTTGTATATTCTCAATTAAGGCTTTGCCAAATATGAAAGCATATTCCACTAATCAGTGCCAAGCATATGCAATGATGAAGACCAATTAAAAAGCTTTTTCTGTATTGATTAAAGCCAGGTCTTGTGGTGACTCTGGGCACGTTGCATGCTCTCAGAATAAGTACTCACTCAAGTGAAGTAAATTAAATTATTCCAGGGCATGAATGTACTATACAGTGAATTGCTTCTTCCAGAAAACCTGACAACCAAGAGAAACAGAGTTTGACATATGAGAAAATGCAAACAACAATTGTTTTTTAAAACAGGATCCAAGCATAAAAACTGAACAATCTTTTTTAAAATATCAAAAATGAAATAAAGTACATTGAAACTGTCAAAAATCCTGGATTAATCATGAAGACTTGTCCATTGCATAAATTCTCTGCAACTTTTTTCTCCTGTATAACTGCTTTCAATTCAATTCAACTAATGTTTATAGATCACTTATTGGCACCTAAAGCAACTCTGGTTACGTGGAGAGAGAACACCAAAGGATCACAACTCAATGTCAACAGCATCATGAAGCACAGGCATCAAGTGTCCCATGGAGTGTCCCCATTCTAGCTGGGGAGTGTTAAGAAAAGCCTCAGAGAGGCAGGAAGATTTGACCAACACTTTGATGATGGAATGAAGGTTTTCCAGGTGGAAGACTCCTGGTCTATGTGGGCTACAGGTGGGGCCTGGGTATGTGAAACCTGCATGCAACAATCCTGCACCAGACACATACACAGAATACTTTGTGGTTCTACATGAGTCCTAGAAACATCAGCATGAGTTGCTGCTTTCTGGAAGTTCTTACAGCTACTAGCATGTATATTAGAGCAGTATGGTCTGTGGACCACGTGTAAATGTTGCAAAACTACAAATGCCTGTGCCCCATCCAAGGCCTATATCAGAACCTCTGGCTGAGGCCTGGGATTCTGTCCATGTAATGACATTTCCAGGTGATTCCTAAACACATTAACATTTAAGAACAGGAAATGGGAGTATAGGCAGAGGCTTGCAAAGAGGAAGGAGAAATGAGAAAAAAGCTGAAATTTGAGTCATTTTATTTAAAATTGTATTGGAGGGTGAGCATAAGGGTTAACATGGGATTTGAGGAGTAATGTGGATTTAACTACATTTGCCAACTATTCTTCCTTCCTGTCTCTCAATTTTTATGACTTGGATCTAGGTGCAGGTCTCTGTGTTCTCTTGCCTAGACTAGTTAGTGTGCAGGCATCTTCACACATTTTTTTTCCTGTCTGAGTCTCTACCTAGGCACCTTATCCCTGCTGACAGCGGCATTTCCTGATCCTCCTCCTTAATCAAGGATTCCTCAGCCCTAGGACAGCCAGTCAGACTGGAGCCGTGACCTACAGCTTTCACCCAGAGTACCATGAAAACTTTATCAGTTGTAAGTGTCATGGTGTAAAAAAGTTCTGGAAGCACTCTGATTATGTATTTATCATAAAACAGAAATACAATTGTGTCACTTCTCCTTAAAGATTCCAAAGGCTCCCACCTGCCTATAGCACACAACAGGTCTGGCAAGACCAGGGACCCCTCCTTCTCACCAACCTAGAGTTCAGTTCACCTTGGAGCCTTCAATTACACCTCTGCCTCTACCCAGAATGTCCCTCTTCTCATCACTGAGGCTTCAACCCAAGCATCATCAACATTCCCATCCCAGTTTACTTTACTATAAAGGATTGAGCTTTCCTTGCTAACTTGCAGTCAACACAGATTAGGATGGTCGTCTCACTCAAAGTTAGTTTAAGTTCGCTGCCTTCTTCTGGCAACAAACCCTACTTCTCATGTCACAGGGCGGGTCATGTGACACAGTCTGATCCCATGACAGTTCTCCAAACCCCAGGGCCAATCACAGTGCTTCCTCTGAAATGTTTTCTAACAGGACCTGGCAGGGTAGATCTCACTTTACTCTTCAGTGACAGAGTTGCAGAGATATAAAGCTCGATTTCTCTGTGACCCTGGTTTCATGCTTTGGAGATGGCTAACCAACTAGAAGGAAGCCTTCTCATGAAGGGACACAAAGTTGAGAGAGAGAAATGCTTAGGCAGACATAGGAGTCCCTTGTCCTATCACCCTAAGGCTAAATCCCACCTGTCCTCTCAAAAATGTATTTATTCGCATGAGCCAGGAAATCCCTCCTTTCTGACTTAACCTGGTTTGAGTTTGGCTTCCTTCATTAACACAGAGCTTCTCTCTACTGTTTCAGCTGGGCTCCTGACTACAAAGATGCCTGGTGACTCAAGTTATGTCAAATAACGGGGGATTAACTGTGAGGACACAAGTGGAAAGACAGAATCAGGGCCACTTGGCCAGGTCCCCTGGGAATACTGACAAAGTCAGACCTCATGTTTGATTGAGGTGAGGGAAATGGCAGCAGCAGGAGTGAGTACATAAGAGAAATGCTACAGCATCAAGAGGAGCTGCAGGCAGACTCTCCTCACCCCAGAAGCCAACACAGGAGGGCCTGGGGTTCATACCAGGCCATTGTCCTCCCCTGTCCAGAGAATTGCTGAGAAGTAAACTGAGGTTTGTTCAAGCAAGGATAAAGAATAACGGGTTCTCCTTGGGACACGTATCATGTCAAGGAAGGGCCAAGCTTGACCTCCGTAGCTGTATTCCTAGCTCTAACCTCCTCACGAAGGGGCTGAAACACTGACTTAATCCATGTGTCGAAGCGTGTCATCCTCAGAACTACTAGCTGGGTGGTAAGTGTACATTTCATTTCAGTTTTTCTAAAAATATTTTTATTAAAAAAGAAAAAGTGGCCAGGTGTGGTGGCTCATGCCTGTAATCCCAGCACTTTGGGAAGCCAGGGCAGGTGGATCACCCAAGGTCAGGAGTTCGAGACCAGCCTGACCAACATGGCAAAACCCCATCTCTACTAAAAATACAAAAAATTAGCCGGGCGTGGTGGCGGGCACCTGTAGTCCCAGCTGCTCGGGCAGCTGAGGCAGGAGAATGGGCATGGACCCAGGAGGCGGAGCTTGCAGTGAGCCAAGATCACGCCACTATACTCCAGCCTGGGCGACAGAGTGAGACTCGGTCTCAAAAAAAAAAAAAAAAGTATTTATTTCTCAGCAATTATACATTTCTGACTTATTATCTTGTTTTATATTTTGGCCTACACATTACCAGAAAGTAGTGTTATTTCCTACAATATTCTTGAAATATAGGCCAGAAAGGATATCATCCTTTTTAAAAAATAAGCATAAAGAACAGTCAAGAAACAGTCCAAAAAGCAAAGTGATGGCAGCATTTTCAGTTACACAAAAATACCCACTCTTCAGGTAGATTTGGAAGAATCAGTTCTTAATTCAGGAGCGAATTGTTAAAGTTTTATGTAATTTAAAGTTAACAAGGAAATATCAAGTTTTTTCTTGTCTAAAAGATTCCCAATATACCTCTAAAATCTACCATTATCTGCACTGAAGGAGAAAAGCAATGGTATGATTCATCTTAATAACAAAAAAAGCAATATCAATATCCTATCTTTTTAGCTAAATATTCTAAGAATGCAGTGAATTGATTTTCATAAGCCAGTCAAGTACAGCATTTATTGGATTTATTATGCGTTGTACCAATTTTTCCTAGAAAATGAGCTTTTCTGCTTGTGTTTCACTTAAACTTATATTATTATTCATTGAGTACCCAGTATATTAATTATTTCTTTAGTACCCTGACCACTTGATAAATACCAGAAGACACTAAGACACAGGTGACAAGTTGAGGGAAGACTGACTAGCTTCATAATGTATTCCTGATAATCTTCAAGAATGGAATACATAATCCTACTTAGGATGAGTTTTGTGTATTTGATTTTTTTTTGCCTCCATCAGAAATCAATATCTTTTGGCATTAGCTAGAATAAAGACCTATAGACCTTAATATAGAGGCTCGATTGATCTTCAGTCAGTCTGCAGAGTAAATACAGATAAAAACAGAGATGAAAATAGTGCCTTTAATGTTGTTTTACCTCTAAGAAGATGAGGCAAGAAAATATAATGTTTTGAATACTGACTATTGTATAAGTTTACAAATTCAATTTGCAAAATATATATATATATTATCTCAACCCAGGGAATCTGTTTTAAAGTACGCTGCTCATTCCTGCAGCAGCCACAACTTTCCCTCCCACTTTAGATTTTGAGGATATTTATATAAAACCCCCGAATGTGGACCTAGGGAAACATTTTTCATTTTCACAAGGTGGCTTTAGTTTGACATCTTAATTATCACAAGCCACTTCAGAAGAACCTCCAACTTCCCTTCAGTCTCTCCTTCCTTATTTTCTTTCTAAACTTCCCCATTCTCAAAGAAATGGTCTTTATAAAGAGCACAATTATCATCAGAGCGGGGAGAGCATTTCTCTTTTATTCCTCCCATCTTTTCATGACTTATTTTTTTTTACCTTATCAAAAGGAGTAAAACATATGTCACCAAGTCTTCAAATATCCAAGTAGAAAACACTAGTGGTGAGCACTACAGAACAACAGTGTCTAATAGGAATCATCAGAGCTGTATGTGTAATCTGCAGTTTCCTACTATTCACAGTGAAAAACACGAAAAGAAACTGAAGATAATTTTCAGAGCATATTTATGTAACTCAACATGTCTAATACATTGTCATTTCAACATCAAATCAGTATAGAAATTACTAATGAGATATTCTAGAATCCTTTTCCTACTCAGTCTTAAAAATCTGCTATATATTTTTAAATTTATTTTTATTATTATTATTTTTTTGAGACGGAGTCTTGCTTTGTCTCCCAGGCTGGAGTGCAGTGGCTCAATCTCGGCTCACTGCAACCTCCGCCTCCCGGGTTCAAGCAATTCTCCTACCTCAGCCTCCCAAGTAGCAGCTGGGATTACAGCCATCCACCATCATGCCTGGCTAATTTTTGTATTTTTAGTAGAGATGGGATTTCGCCATGTTTTCCAGGCTGGTCTCAAACTCCTGACCTCAAGTTATCCACCTGCCTCAGCCTCCCAGAGTGCTGGGATTGCAAGCGTGAGCCACCACACTCAGCCTCTGCTGTGTATTTTAAACTTACAATACAACTCAATTCTACTTTCAAGTGCTCAGAAGCCACATGAGGCTGGTGGTCACCCTATTGGACAGGACCTAGGAAAGAAGTGACAACCTACTATTTTTGTTCCTCCTTCAAAGAACCAAGCAAATGCTGGGGTCCATCTATTGAATCTACTAAATTAAACGGTTTAAACCATAAAAATAAATACAGATAATTTCATAAATTGTTTACATTTCTCTAGGTTAAGGTTTATAATTTCCAATTCCTTTCTGTCTTTACTAGTCTTACCCTACAGTTCAGGCAAAGTTATACAATAGAAAAGAAAAGATAATCACAAGCTTTTTGTTGCTTTCTTTGTTTTTCCTTTTTCCTGAATATGTCCAAGAAATTAAGGGGTATATGCTTTGTTTTTGTATCACTTAATTTCTCGCATCATTTTACTACCTTTCCCCCTCCCACCCCAGGCTTATTTATGTTTGGGGTGGTCATACCAGATTTTAAAGTGGTCAGTCTTGGCCAGTCAGAGCTATCAGTGAAAGCATACACTATAATTAAAAGTAAAACTATTATTTGTCAAGGCAATGTAACGTACAATGACCCAGTGAGAAGAGAAGAAACAAGGAGCCAGAGATCTAAGACTCTAGTCTTGATTCCCCGCTTCCTTCTCTGTAAACTCTCTTCCTGCTCTTCTTTACACTTCAGGACGTTGAGATGAGGGTCAGTTGGCATCCTGTGTTTGAAAGCATTTTATAAACATGATGCGTCATATAATGTTTTATGAATGTCCTACAATGTCTTGTGTTTATTATTTTTATTCTTTGTGAACGCAAGTAAACATGTTGAACTGGTTATTCTGGCATGTAGGGCTATGGTTTAACACTCTTGGATGTTGAAGAGATGTTCTCCTAAACGCTACAAAGTGTGGGTAAACCAAAAGGAACTAGGATAGGCAAAAAAAAAAAAAAAAAAAAAGCATGCCTTCCTATTTTTTTCTCAAAGTGTTAAACAGATGACAATTATCAGCTCCTACAAAGAAAAACAGGAAGAAGAGAGCAGATGATCTTCGCACCTTCACCAGTGACGACTTCAGTCCAGCAAGCTGGAACTACTCCTGGATTTCATTCCTAAACCTATCATTCTGGAAATTCCCGTTACAAATTTCCTCATTTACAAATTTGCATCGGGATGTGCTGGGGTTGTTTTTTTTTTTTTTTTTTTTTTTGGTGGGGGGAGGGGATATTGCACATAAACAGGACTGGCCTGGTAACTGGGGACACAGGGTCAGGTCTCATTCTCCACTGAGTCATCTGACAGCCATGTTTTGTCCATCTGGGCCTCGATTTATTTATTCATAAGAATGAAACTAATCACCATTTTCTACTTTCTTTGCAATAATGCTGCTAGAATAATTAACAATAAATAGAAAATACTTAGACAGTACCCTTGAGGAAAGAAATACTAAGGAATTATTAATCCATCAAAGCAGAACTAAAAAATACTGGGCACGGCCGGGCGTGGTGGCTCCTGCCTGTAATCCCAGCACTTTGGGAGGCCGAGGTGGGCGGATCACGAGGTCAGGAGATCGAGACCATCCTGGCTAACACGGTGAAATCCCATCTCTACTAAAAATACAAAAAAAAAAATAGCTGGGTAGTCCCAGCTACTCGGGAGGCTAAGGCAGGAGAATGGCGTGAACCTGGGAGGTGAGCTTGCAGTGAGCAGAGATCGCGCCACTGCATTCCAGCCTGGGCAACAGAGCAAGACTCTGTCTCAAAAAAAATAAAAAATAAAAATAAAAAAATAAAAAAAATATTGGGCACTTACTCTCCTATGTGAAGGAGGAGTTAGCCATTTTCAAAATTTGCTGCTGTGGAGGCCAAGTACGCCCTTCCCCCTTCAGGTCAATGTGTGTTTCCAATGTCCCACTTATTAGAGCCCAGGGGACTGTGTAGGGTAGAAGGGGAGGATCAGAAAGGAGCCTGAAGTCCAAAAGTGGATAACAAACTTTGGCTTAAGTTGATTTCTGTAATGGCCCTGAATTTTAGTGATCAATTTATCCAACTGTTAGTGTCCTTGGGTAAAGAAAGTAAAATGAGGTTAAACACACCGTTGTCCATAGGAATCATCAGTGCTTTGACTCTGAGCATTTTCCTGAATATAAAGTTCAAAACACATGAGTCAAGGCAAGAATTTCTAAAATCAATAACTATTAGTCACCTCTCATGCCCTGCTATAGTACTTTGATACTCAAAGGTGTCCAATGCTATTGATATGTGAAGTTTCTGGTTTAAGGGGCTATGGAAACTTTCCCTTTACTACAGTTCTGGTGCTGTGGAAACTGAAACACACATATGTATGCACACACAGGCATATGCACACACACACACATTTCCCTATTGCCACAATTTATTCCAGTATAGAAATGAGTAGAAGAATATCAGAAAACAGGGAATTGCATTTACCTTATTAGTGTTTGAGTCTAAAACCCTTCTGAATATACAATAAAACATAAGTGTAAATCATTCCTTAACATTAAATTAGGTTTTGGAATATTAGGAAGGGCCACAAAGGGGAAACCAAATTTAAGAATACTCAGAAGACATCTCTCCAAATATTTTGTAAGACAGAAGATTTCACCTCATTATTTAATTTACTTGTCAGTAAAAAGCCTATAAAACCTCAGTCTTATGATAAAATTAAATAGCAGCAACAGTAGACTTTATGAACACCCGAGGTGCACTGCTTCCATCATCTTTCCAAAGAAATCAAGATATTGAAATCCTGTCCAGCACTTTCCTCTAAAAGCGTCCTTGCATTTTTAACCCAAACCAAAATCTTCTGTTACTCAGAAGATTGTTTCTTTTTCATTAGATTCATCTAGTAACTACCTGCTCATTAAGTAAGTGACATCCGTCTAGAACAGGCTGCCCAAGAGGCAACAAAGCTAATGCAGAGGGTTACAGGCTCTGAAAGGCAACACGAAGAAGACAGAAGGAAGGATGAATGGTAGAAGGTGGAGGAGGGAGAGATGGAGGAGAGCAGGCAAAACTCAGGAAAGCCAAGTTTCACAACTGGGTTACAAATCATTACAGAAGCAGTTTAACCTCTCTCCCCGCCTAGCAGGTGCCTGTCCTCTCTGCCTAGTTGCCTTTCTCAGGAGCTGCCCATTTCTCTTAAGAAAACAAGGGAAAGTCCTGAGCATTCTCAGTACGTCAGATGCCTTCACTCTCATTAACCTTAAAATTGGTTTATAAATGGTAAAAGAGAGAGCGTAATTAGTACAAAGTATGATAGGAATTTCTAAACTCAGTACAATTTAAGCCCAGGAAAAATGACTAGTTCTGTAAGGCGTGTGTGTAGATATGCATTTTTAATTGCATCATTATGCTGTATCCCCTGGACTGAAGTAAATACAATAATTACAATGTGGAAGTGCACATAATGCACTTTAGAGAGGGGCGGGGCATGCACATCTGTGATCTACACCATAAGGAAGCAACACACAGTCAAGTTTTGAATGGCATACTGATTACCCCGCATTAGAAAAGAGGGTATAACTTCTGAGAACAAACATACCCCAATGTGAATGTGTACCTGCATTTTTCATGACAGAATAATGGGTGCACATGGTAATTTTGGGGCAAAAATGTTTACATCACTGGTAATATCTTATTTAAGGACCCATTTATTATTTTGGTATACTATAAGCCATGACAATTTTAGTTTTTTTTTTATTTTTTAGTTTTTTGAGACCGAGTCTCAATCTGTTGTCTGGGCTGGAGGGCAGTGGTGTGATCTTGGCTCACTGCAACCTCCACTTCCCAGTTCAAGTGATTCTCCTGCTTCAGCCTCCTGAGTAGCTGGGATTACAGACATGCACCACCATGCCGGACTAATTTTTGTATTTTTTTTTTAGTAGAGACGGGGTTTCACCATGCTGGCCAGGCTGGTCTTGAACTCCTGACCTCGATTGATCCACCCGTCTCATCCTCTCAAAGTGCTGGGATTACAGGCATGAGCCGCTGTGCCTGGCCAATGACAATATTAGTTTAAATGTAATAAAGAAATTTCCTCTACACTAAGTTGTCAAGAAAATCTTCACTTTGAAGTTGGAAACAAAGGCCCACGAACCACAGCAGAGAATTACCTGTGCTATTTATCAGGAATATGTGGCCCTATTTGTCTCTTACTTCTGAATTCCTGGCATAAGTAAACCTGTGATCCCATCTTCACAAGAGGCCAGTGACTTGATACAGCATAGGCCTTCCAACCCTTCCATCACCGACATGGGGGATGCACCAGGATTCCCATCCCATCCAATTCTTCAACTTTCCCCCAATAGCTGGATCTTTAAGAACCCCAATTCCTGCCTGTGAACATCTGGCAAACTGACAAATTTGCATAGCTCCTTTGTGGGTTCTAGAACATTTACATATACTCAGACTTGCAATGCAATTCAAGGTTCTCATACCCTGACTCTTGCTAAAACAACACTGCTGGAAACTAGATACTAAGTCCCGCCCCCACACTCTTTTTAGAGACCTAGTAACTAGCTGGTCATACATTTTCAATGACACTGGCCAAAGAAGAGTGAGGAAACTGGAAGTCATACAAATGATATGAATAGCAACCAGAAAGACATGGAACATTTCATTACTGGGTCAAACTAGATTAATGCGTTGCTTTATTTAGGTTTCTCTGTGAAACAGAAAACCACCCAACCTGTAACTCAGGGCTGTCATGACCCCAGCTTCCACTCTCTTTGTGTAGGGGGTCTTCGACTTCCTCCACCACAAACCTCATCTGCTTCTGATACAGACGTGCTGATATATGGCAAAAGTCAAACTAGCCCCCAATCAAATGATCATCTTAATCAGATCGGAAGAGAAAATTTCAGGAAGATCTAGGCTTATGCTTATAGCTGCAAAATTCTAAATATGTATGGCAGGTCCTAGCATTTAGCCTAGTGCATATGGAGCTGTAAATACATATTTGTCAAAGTAAAAAAAAAATGTAAAAGCATTCCATTACTAAGTATTTCTCACTGACCGTATACAGGGTCTTACCATAATAGAATAGAAGCTTGTTTTTGGAAGCTACAAAAACATCCACACCCAATGAGCAGCCTCCGCCTCCTTCAAAGTGATCCTCCAAATGCTACAACAGGATTCAAACTCCATCATTCATCAGCCTACTTGTCTAACTTCTCAAAAACTTCCTTCAGAACCAGTTAGTGCATGAGACACTAACCATATCTTTAGTAAATTCCTGGCTTTATACATTTCCTGCTTTATAATCCTGCATCTTTGTTTAAAAAGCTAAACCGGCTGGGCGCGGTGGCTCACACCTGTAATCCCAGCATTTTGGGAGGCCAAGGGGGGTGGATCGCGTGGTCAGGAGATTGAGACCATACTGGCTCACACGGTGAAACCCCGTCTCTACTAAAAATACAAAAAAAATTAGCCCGGTGTGGTGGCGGGCGCCTGCAGTCCCAGCTACTCAGGAGGCTGAGGCAGGAGAATGGTGTGAACCCGGGAGGCGGAGCTTGCAGTGAGCCGAGATCACGCCGCTGCACTCAAGCCTAGGCGAGAGAGCGAGACTCCGCCTCAAAAAAAAAAAAAAAAAAAGCTAAACTGGAATTGCATGGTCACAACTCTCATTCGCTGATTTTGCTTTGAATGACTAAGCTGTTATCCCAAATCAAATCTACCATTCAAAATATTTCTATGACTAAGGTTATGCCAATGAATATCCATAAGCCATTCCAGAACTCCAAGAGCAGCTTGGGATGCAACTTTGTTGGAATAAGCTTATAGGTTCCCACGTGGGCAACCCTGATTGGGCATCAAGCTCGTACAATTCTTGGTGCCTGAGCAAGATCCACCCCAACAGTTTACTGTCATATTTCATGAGACCCAGAAGAATGTTTAAGCAGCTTTCTATCTGAGCAACAGATCATGGTAGCATAAGTTTTGCTGATACATATTTCCATTTCTTTGTAACAAAACATAAGAAAAATCTTTTTTTTTTTTTTTTTTTTTTTTTTTTAAGACAGAGTCTTGCTGTGTGGCCCAGGCTGGAGTGCAGTGGCACAATCTCGGCTCACCGCAAGCTCCGCCTCCCGGGTTCATGCCATCCTCCTGCCTCAGCCTCCCGAGTAGCTGGGACTACAGGGGCCCATCACCACGCCTGGCTAATTTTTTGTATTTTTAGTAGAGACGGGGTTTCACCATGTTAGCCAGGATGGTCTCGATCTCCTGACCTTGTGATCCACGCGTCTCGGCCTCCCAAAGTGCTGGGATTACAGGCGTGAGCCACTGTGCCCGTCCGAAAAATCTATTTTTAATTTTTCTTAAAAGAATAAGAAAACCTAGTGTTTCATATAACTTATTCAACTTTAATATCTTGGCTGAGAATGCATGCATTCAATGAAATGCCATCATCGAGCACTTTTAACAAAGAAGTACTTACGCCATGATGCCTGAGAGGTGAAACATTTCAGCTGTGATGTAGGACAAATAACTGTACAGGAAAACAAACAGTGGCTCGATCACTCGGATATTATGGGTGAATCGAGTAGTAAATGCCGCTATAAAGCCCAAGAAGATGCCAATCAGCACCCCACCGATTCCCACAACAAAGAAGTTGGCGATTCCTGCAAACACATCAATGGTCTCAATGGTTTTCATCTGGCAAAACGACTTGAACAAGTTGTACAGGACCTGCAGGAAAAAAAAAAACACCTTGTCAAGACCCTTTCCCATTTCCCCATTGTCACTCTGGGCACAAACACATCTACCTGGACTTCTAATAAGGACATTTCTTCTGTGTACCCAAGTAGGAAAATGACAATCATTGTGTATTCATTTGTCTCATATTTTAATACTGTAGCTTTAAACTAACCAAAAAACCTTTCAATAAAAGTGAGTTGTCAGGGAATTTATTTCTAAAAGTAAGGGAGAGGCAATTTCAAAGTTATTGCATAACTTATTCCAAAAACATTATTTTTTCCAGATATCATCTGAAAGATTATTTTAAAATATTTGTTTGCTATCCAGCACACCCAGCTCATGTTACCATTGCTTGGTAAGTAATATGACAGTGAGAAAGCTTATCAGTGCTGCTGTGAACACATTTACCTTATAAGGTCCTATTGTGGAGCCACATGACAGAAGGGACCTACGCATCAGGACAGGTACCCAAGATGAGTCAGTCATCCTCCCAGTCACCAGTTCCTCACTCCACACTCCACCTCCTCTCCCCGCCCACACATACATGTCTGGTGTAACTGAGACACACCCAAAGGAATTTTCTTCAAGCAAAGAGGCAGCAAACTCATATGTATGTGTGTGTGTGTGTGTGTGTGTGTGTGTGTGCATCTGCTGAAACTTCATACATATTTTGTAAATGAAACACTAGGTTTTCTTATTCTTCAAGAACAATTAAAAATAGATTTATCTTACATTTTGTTACAAAGAAATGGGAAGGTACATCAGCAAAACTTCATGCTGTAATGAGACTGCTCTGTTGTTCTTTTTTTTTTTTTTTGAGTCTCACTCTCACTCAGGCTGGAGTACAGTGGCGTGATCTTGATCTCAGCTCACTGCAATCTCTGCCTCCCGGGTTCAAGCCATTCTCCTGCCTCAGCCTCCCAAGTAGCTGAGATTACAGGCAGGCGCCACCACACCCGGCTAATTGCTGTACTTTTAGTAGAGATGGGGTCTCATGATGTTGGCCAGGCTGGTCTTGAACTCCTGACCTCAAGAGATCCACCCACCTCGGCCTCCCAAAATGCTAGGATTACAGGCATGAGCCACCACGCCCAGCCTGTTGTTTAGTTCTTTACATAGTCTTGGTTTAAGGAAGGCTTCAAGAATGTCGGGCACTTCATGTCTGGTGGACAATATGCTTTCAACTTGTGTCTGGGGCCACTCAGCGAACTGAAATGGAAAGTCATGGCTGCAGCCCCACCACTTTCTTTTCACAAGAGAAGCAAGTCAAATACCAGCCAAGCAGGTGGACTGCTTCTTTTTTCACTGTGATATTTACAACTCTGGGAGCACCTGGAATCTCCAGGAAAACCGACTGATAAGGACGTTAGGGAGAAAGGCTGTGCTACACCCTCATTTGGGTTCTGAGAAACTCAAAACTGATCCCATTTGTTCAAGGTCAAATGACACAAAATGTCAGAGGCAATATTAGCATCCAAGTCTCCTGACCTCCTGATTAAGTTGTTCAAGGTTCAATCATGGGAGAGTGAAGTCATACTGCCTGGTAAGCAGTGTGCGGCCTGGCAAATGCCATCTCACTTTTTACTTCACTTTGTGGTCATAGCCTACCACAATATGGGTTTAATATGTTATTCTTTACTCCTTTCTACTGGATTGTAAGCTCCTTGTGATCAATTAGCACCTTATTACAATTTACATCTTCCAAGTTGCCTAGTAGATGGCAATAAATATCTGTTGGCTTTGAAAAATAGTGGATTATTCCCTAGGAAACAGTGAACATTTCCTTTTCCCTAATTGTTGGTGTAACACTCAAGATCATTTGCCATCCTACCACCAAGAAATGACTTCAGAGAAGAACAAAAGAGACTCATTCTCCTGAAAACTTAAATATTTTAAAGGCATCATTGTTTGCCAGACAGAGAAGAAAATGGCTTCATGTAGTACCCACTTCCACTTTGAACCTGCTGTCAGCATCGGTTTTCATCGGCATCAACACGCCACAGTTACTTCCTGAGACAGGATCACAGATGTGCTATATATACCCCTTGCCTCCAAACAGCCAAAGGCAAAAGGGGCAGTCACCAGTGTTCCAGAGGAGAGGCGGGTTTCCCAGCCATCTGCTTCTGCATGGACAGCCTCTCTCCAGGGCCACTCAGGCACCACAGTTCTGTCTCCAGCCTCCAGCCTGCACCTAGGAGGCTCATCTCTTCTTTGCTCTAATCCCACTGCAGCCACTACGAGACCTACTTCCTTCAAAGGCTGCCACTCCATTTTCACATCAGGAAGTCCTCATAGTCTCAAAACACCTGGGACGCTTTTTTTTTTTAAACTGCTTTCTAACACACTTCAGACTGCAAAGGATTTCATCACTGTTCCATAAAACACACCGTGTTTATTCACTCCTGCTCCTGCTTTCCTTTCCTTGTCCTTTCTCTTGCCAGCAACCTGCACCTAAATCTAGGGAACCTTTACCTATCTTCTAAGGCACAGCTGAAGCTGCTGTTGCCCCCAGGAGCCCTCCTGGACCCCTCCAGCCTTTGCAAATACCCAGCTCTCTGACCTCCTGCACCACAGATGATCTCCCAGAAAATTCAGCATCTTGTACTGTTGGTGCTGAGTTTTGAGTGAGTGCCCCATGTCCCCAACAAAACTAGAAATTCCTTTAGCACAGAGCTGAGTCTCCTTCTTCTTTTCCTCCCTCTCATCTCTACACCCTAGTCCATCCAGTGCACTGAAGAGTTCTCTGAGGGAAGCCCAGGTACTCCTTCCACAGATTAACGGGCATCTGCAGCTGGGTCGCACATTCCTAATCCTTACAAAACTATTTTCCTGGCAACTTAATGCATCAAATCTATCAAAGGTACAGCCAGTCTTAAATCCCCCCTTAGACTCTGCAAAGAGTTAAGATGGGTCACAGGCACTGTACTCTCAGCACATTGAGCCAAAGCTCCATTTTGATCCTTCTCCTGCCTGAGATGCCACGGCAGTGTCAGAGCTAATATCTCAGGTAGGAGCGTTACCTTAACAACCAGAAAGCTTTCCACAACCTCCCACCTGTTTTACAATGAACCTGATACCTAGTTAGTGATCAGCACGAGATAAAATTCTTCTGGTTACAACTGGCCGAAACCACATACTTAGTTCATTCCAGTTAAATCCTTTAATTGTATTATGAGGGAATCTATGCCGAGAAGTGTTTTAGAATTTTAATTTACATAGGTATATGTGTTATGTGTATATATTATGTATGTGGGCTACAAATGACTCTAGTGAGTCGGTGCAAAGTTGGTCTCCCCTTGACACTTTATCCTTAGATTAAAATGTCAGTGATACCTATGTACTAAATTCTGTCATGGGCTAATTTGACAGCTTTGAAATCTTTCAAATAATCAAAGCTATACTGCTTAATGATATTTTTAAATTGCAAACATATATATATTAACATTAGGAGTTAGGAACTTTGAACTTTGATTTTAAAAGCACACTAATTCTGTGAAATCATATAAAGCAAGGGTGCAAATTATACAAATACAGTCGTCTATCAGAATGGCTCTGTCTCAGAAAAAAAAATGTTCAGGTAATTTCTTCCTGTATGAAACATACAGGATAATCATTTTGCATATGAAATTTTAGAACTATTCTGCTGTTTGCAAAATCAAAATTAAGATCCAAGTGGTCACTGCTTACCCTCCATCTTCCTAAAGTTACTTTCCACTCCACAGCACACAGTGACTGGGCCTCTGGGGTCCATTACTGGCTTCTCTCTACAGAGCCAGCTCTCCTTAACCAAGCCCGGTTATGAGCAGATGGAGGAAACTCTTTAAGTCTTCTCGGAAAATTTATTAGAATATTCAGTGGCTGCATTAACATGTTCTAGAAATCATCTGAAAAATCTTTGCCTAATAGGGAAATTTTGGAAAGTTTTCATGCAACATTTATTCTAACGGAAAACACCACAATCCTATTTAAAAATCACACGTTTATTTTTTTCAATTGTCATGTCTCTAGTTACTTCTAATCTACTACAGCCCTGTACAATAGCATGAAGTGTTTGATCTGCATTTCTTTTGCTTTGAGACATTTTCATGCTAAGTTTTCTTCGCTTCAGCTTTTCTAGCTCAATGTTGAATTTATCATAATTTGGGAAAGGAGTTAATGGCACTAACCTACCATGTTACCCATCCTCGAGATTATATACTGTGACAATGAATTTTCTCCGATTAACCTCTATTCTTCTATCTGCAACTCCTAGTGACTCATCGTTTTTGCCGTATGCATCATGGTCCGTATTTTTAATACCTTTCCAAAGTCCGTGAGTTCCTTAAACTAACCCCTATTCTTCTATTTGCAACTCCTAGTGACTCACAGTTTTTGCTGTATGCATCATGGCCCATATTTTTAATACCTTTCCAAAGTCCATGAGTTCCTTTAACCTCTCCTACAGATAAGCCTGAATGAATGAATCAAAGAATCTTCCACAAAACATCTCCACCTCTATTCTTTGAAGGTACCTGACTAGGAGATAAAATTAGAATTTTTGACACCATTGTTCTAATTATTCTTAACACACGCTCAATTCAGTACAGTACTCAGACAATTCAGCGAGAGAAACGTCTAGTAGTTTATTCTTTGGCAAACCTGTGGGCATGCCCTGATATCTTGTGGGTCTGGCTTTGAGAGTCCATGGACTCTCAGCCAGGGCAAGTAAGTTACCAAGGGAGGCTCTTAGATATGAAACCACGACAGTGGTTCTGACTGACAGGCTCTGGCCATTCCTTGATAAGAGCTTCCACCTCAAAGCACCAGCCAGGGCCTTGCTCTGTCTGTGCCCTTCTTCTGAGTAGAGTGACAAGCTCTCACTTTGGCCGCCTGCCTTCCCTGGGTCAGCCCTCCCTTTCTTTCCATAAAACCACAGTTGTGCCTCTGTGCCTCCTGAGAGGAAGCACAGGGTGTGTGTCTGGATGGCCTGCTACCTTTGCATACTCTAAACAGTGACTTAGCCAGACCCTATCCTGAGATCTGATTTGGGACAAACTCAAAGAATGGACCACGGAGATGTCTGAATAAAAATTTGATCAGAGGTGGGAAAGCAGTGTGGAGGCCTGGTGTGTCATTCTGAAATGAATTTGACTCTACTGAGCTGCCCTAGAAGGACTGCAACAGGAGCTTTTATTTCTTTGTAAAGTTCCCTTTGCACTAAATAGACTTACTCCAGGAATTCCCATTCAAAGGTCCTCAGTCTCCCTCGACAGGGTAAAATTTACGTATCGAGCATAAGTCAGAATGGAAAACTTCATGCCTTCTGCCTCTGGAAATTAGAATGAGTTATAAAATGTCTCTACTATTATGGCAGTTTCCCAGTTAAAATTTAATATTGCTAAGTTAATGACTACTCAGTTCATGAATAATGGAATATATGAAGCGGATTTTGTTACTTAAGTGAGGTAACTTAGCTGTCTTAAAATATCTATACTACAAATTGTGATCAATAAATTATCTTCTATACAATAATGTTCACATGAAGTTAATGGATGTCCTTAGAGATGACATTTTATTCATTCTGAGGATTTGCTTTTGCAGTAGAATACAAGCTAACAGAGAATAAATCGGTTTCTATGTAGACTTTTATTTTATTATTATTATTATTATTGAGATGGAGTCTCACTCTGTTGCTCAGGCTGGAATGCAGTGGTATGATCTTGGCTCATTGCAACCTCCGCCTCACTGGCCCAAGCGATCCTCTCACTTCAGCCTCCCAAGTAGCTGGGATAACAGGCGCTCACCACCATGCCCAGCTAATTTTTTTTTTTTTTTTTGTATTTTTAGTAGAGACAGGGTTTCACCATGTCGGTCAGGCTTGTCTCGAGCTCCTGACCTTCAAGTGATCCACCTGCCTCAGCCTCCCAAAGGCATGAGCCTCCCAGAATTATAGGCATGAGCCTCTGCACCCGGCCTACTATGTAGACTTTTAAATGAGTCAGGAATGGCATTTTAATGATAAGAGCAAATGGAGAGGGAATTAAAAATTAAGTCCTTTAAACACAGTCTTTTTCTGCCTCGCTTTTCTTATCTGAATAATGGGAGGAATGCCTGTTTCATAATTTGTTATAGAGACCTGAGCACAAAGTGAGCATTCACAAGTTAGTGGCTATCATTACTGTCACCTTTACTACTACCGAGCTGTGGCTAACAGAAAACAGCATCATCAGTGCTCCCTAACTGATTTATCAATTGAGCATCACTTGAGTGTCTTTAACTGGTGGACACAGAGCTCTTTGGAGGTATGTGGGTAAAAGGAGAGGCTTTCTCATCCCTTCTCTCAATCCTTGCCTGTGTTCAGAAGGCAGGGTAGAAGTAAATTCTGCTAACCTTAAGATCATAACAGCCCCTGACTCTAATTATATGTAATCTAAGAGAGGATTACAAATAATTTGTGCCTTCTGAATAAACACTCATTTATGAGAAGGTGATGAGGGCCAGAAATGTGCTGGTTGAGTAGTAACAGAAAGTGAGCAGTGAGCGTGTGACAAAAACTTTCCGTAAAATCATTAACATGATAACTAAAGCATCCCCAGATAGAGAATGGCACTTAGCAGGTATTATCATTTCACCTGTGTTATATACATTGGATACTGACAGTATTACTTCTCACAAAGAACTCTGGGATCTGAAGGCTTTTAAGTTATGATCGAAGACCATCATTTTTGAAAATGCCAAAATGATAAATCATCAGAGTTGCAAAGGCCAAAATCATATGTTCCTCTGGCATGAACAGGGCCTTGTCAGCACAGACCAGCTACATATTTTGTGGGGCCCCGTGCAAAATGAAAATGAGGAGACAGTTTTATGATAATAAATAAATTATAAATAATAAGTTTAAAAGTATTAAGAATTATAAGACAGTGATGTCAGAGCATTAAACCAAGTGAAGGGCCCTGGGCAATTGCTCATGAAACCACCCTGTGTGCAGGGTCTCGCCCCTGCCAGTTGAGGTGCAGAGAGCCACTGCAGGTGGCTGGGCAGCCCCCACCTGTTGGAGTCATGCAGTGTGAATGTGACTCACCACTGTTACTGCATCATTCAGCAGGGACTCTCCAAAGACCAGGATGTAGAGCTGCTCATTGACGTGAATGTTCTCAAAGACAGCAAGCACAGCCACAGGATCGACAGCTGAGATTAAGCTGCCAAAGAGCAGGTTCTGGAGCAAAGTGATGTCGCTGAGGCCGAATGCTTCGATCTGGCAGATACCAAACAAAGACACCCCAATGCCAATGGAATTCCAAAGTGTCCCTACCACAGCATACCAGAAAATCGTGCCAATGTTCTCAAAGAATGGGCGAGTGGGCATGAAATAGCCGGCATCCAGCACGATGGGTGGGAGGAGGTACAAGAAAAATACATCAGTCTTCATTGCAGGGGGAGACTTCTCATCAACACCAAAAATAATCCCACCTAGTAGAAGTCCAACCATTATAAGAAGGCAGCTCTCAGGCACTATTGTGGGCAACTTGTGATACAGATGGAAGCCTGGTAAGGAAAAAATAAAAACACACAACTTGGGTTATGGAGGAATTTGGGAGACAGGAAATTGGTTCCCTTTGATAGAACCAGTGGGTCCTGTTTCACCATCTCCCAAGTCAGTATCACTGTCTTTACAATGGCTTCCCAGATTACAGTGCAAACCAGAGGTTTCCCTTAAAACTATTCATGAAGCACATGTAGACAAAAAATTAATGTTACATTAAAATTGGAGTGCTATAGGTACACATTATCTACATTGTACAGATTTTATTTTTTCTAAATCCCCGTTGAGATTTTCTTCAGGGCTGGAACTGTGGAAATGGAATAACACAATTTTATTATTATTATTATTATTTTTTTTTTTGAGATGGAGTCTTGCTCTGTCACCTGGGCTGGAGTACAGTGGCATAATCTCGGCTCACTGCAACCTCTGCCTCCCGGGTTCAAGCAATTCTCCCTGCCTCAGCCTCCCGAATAGCTGGGATTATAGGCACGCACCACCATGCCTGGCTAATTTTTGCATTCTTAATAGAGACGGGGTTTTGCCATGTTGGCCAGGCTGGTCTCGAACTTCTGACCTCAGGTGATCCGCCCACCTCGGCCTCTCAAAGTTCTGGGATTACACACATGAGTAACTGCACCCGGTGCAATTTTATATTTGAAACAATTCAGTGATTTCTAAAACACTTTCAGATGTAACATCTCATTTCATCCTCATAAAAACCCTAATGAGTAGGCAAGGCAGTTATTTTCATGCTTTGTAAAAATTTAAGCGGGAATTGAAGCTGAAAGAGATCCAGGGTCTTATTACCAAGGTGGTTGGGTCACAGCCCATTTTTAGATTACTACTCTCATCTGTGGCATTCAGAAACATTGGCAATTTATTTATTTTTAACGTCTGATTCTTGCATTTGGAACACTGAATAGGTTTAATATTTGAGACGTTTGCTCCTTCAGAGACAACCCAATCAATTCGTCAGGATGCCTCAAGAAACTACTCTATGAGGGATATAAACATGCCATGATCTCTAATCTCACATAGTTCCCAATCAAGTTCCCAAAATGTATTTACGACTTACTCTAATACAAGGCAAAGTGTGGTCAAGCCCCAGCCAAGTGCTATGGAAACAGAGGAAGAGGAAGTCTGCTTAGGAAGACCCAGAGTAGGGCAATATGTGGGCAGGGCTTAAAAGATAGGCATTAAACAGAGCCATAAAGGGGCTTCTCTAGTAAATGGAAAAATGGTGGGAAATATCCATCTCTTAATTCATGGTAGAGCCCATGTGGCTTTAAAACAGAGAACATGTTAGGAGGAGGCCTGTAGGGAAAGAGGAGAGAGATGTGGGTTGGGCCAGCACATGGAGGCAACGTGGAAAGTGACTTAACACACGAAGGTCACTGGACAGAGCTTAAGTTTGGAGCGCACTTATTTGCAAGACAACAGCAATCATCCTTCAGGCATTCAATACGTTTTAGAACTAAAGCAGAATATGAGAATGCTACGCTTTGGCTGTCCCCCCTCTAAAACTTAGGTGTTGCCAACGTGATAGCTGTAAGAGGTGGATGGAGCCTTTAAGGGGTGATTAGGCCATGAGGGCTCCTTCCTCATTGGTGGGATGAAGGCCCTCACAACAGAGGCTTCTCACAGCCTTGCTGGCTGGTTTGCTCTTCTGCTCTCACATGCCCTCTGCCTTCTGCCATGTGAGGCTGAAACAAGAAGGCACTCACCAGACACCAAATGCCAGTGCCCTGAGCTTAGACTGCCCAGCCTCTGGAACTGTGAAAACATAAATGTTATTTATAAATTATCCAGTTGTGGTCTTCTGTTATATAGCAACAGGAACAGAGTAGGACAGAAATTTATCTGAATTATAGAAAGATAATACAGTCATGTACCACATTCAATGTTTCAGTGAACAATTGACCACATATATGATGGTGGTTCCATAAAATTATCATGGAGCTGAAAAATTCCTGTTGCCTAGTGACACCTTTATGATCCTGACCCTGTGTAGACTTAGGCCGATGTGTATGTTTATGTCTTGTTTTTAAACAAAAAAGTTTAAATATCAACAAACTATTTTTTAATTTACAAAGCTTACAGAATAAGGGTATAGGCCAGGCGTGGTGACTCACACCTGTAATCCCAGCATTTTGGGAGGCCGAGGCAGGTGGATCATCTGAGGTCAGAAGTTTGAGACCAGCTTGGCCAACATGGTGAAATCCCATCTCTAGTAAAAATAAAAAAATTAGCTGGGTGTGGTGGCGGGTGCCTGTAATCCCAGCTACTTGGGAGACTGAGGCAGGAGAATCACTTGAATCCAGGAGATGGAAGTTGAACTCAAAAAAAAAAAAAAAAGAATAAGGGTATAAAGAAAGAAAACATTTTTGTGTTGCTGTACTGTACAATGTGTTTGTGTTTCAAGCTAAGTGTTATTACAAAAAAACCATTTTTAAATAAATTTAGCATAGACTAATGTACAGTGTTTATGAAGTCTACAGTAGTGTACACTAATGTCTAGGACTTCACATTCACTCACCACTCACTCACTGACTCACCCAGAGCAATCTCCAGTCCTGCAAACTCCATTATAGTAAGTGCCTTATACAGGTATACCACTTTTAATCCTTTATACTACATTTTTATGATGCCTTTTCTATGTCTAGATATGTTTAAATACATAAATAATCGTTGTTGTGTTACAAATACCTACAGTATTCAGTACAGTAACATGCTGCACAGGTTTGTAGACTAGGAGCGATAGGCTGGTAGACAACACCATATAGCCTAGGTGTGTGGTAAGCTGTACCACCTAGGTTTGTGTAAGCACGCCCTATGATGTCACACAATGACAAAATCGCCTAATGATGCGTTTTGCAGAACGTATCCCCTTTGTTAAGTGATAAATGACTATTAAAGTGATAGAATAAGTCCTTAGATACTTACAGTCACAGAAGTTTTAGTAAGTAAATCCTTAAGAGCTTACAAACAGGACTAAACCCATAGCACTAAACATTTTGTGAGCCAAAGCAATATAACTGTAAAAATTTGAAAAGGTTTAAAGAACTGTTAAATAATAAAGTGATCATCTGTATGTTGAGCATTCAAATCTAGCTTTATTTTAATATTTATACTACAAAAGGCTCCAATAATTTGTGGGGACTAAATGTATTCAATGGGTGCAGCTGCTCTTTACCTATGACCTCTGGCAAGCCCACTGACCTCACTGATAAATGAGGAAATAAAAAAAGTTCCCTGAAAACCATGTCTCTGTTCCCCCAAGCTGACTCTTGCTTCTATGTGCACCTGCTAGTGTGTGATAAGAGTCAGCCAGAGTGAGACTCCGTCTCAAAAAAAAAAAAAAAAAAAAAAAGAGTCAGCCAACAGCAGCATCGCCAGTCCCCTAATATCCAAATGCAATCACTTCCTTTCCTTAACGCGGTAGCAATCTGGGGGTTTCTGCCATGGGCCTGCAGCATGCCATCGGAGGACTGCCCCCTTACTTGAAACCCAGCCCTCCCGCTCTCTGCCTGTGATTGTGGAAAGGTTCCTAACATGCCCAGGCCCCACCTACTCATCTGTGAAACAGACACAAATGCACCTGCTGGGTAAAGAACTGTACCTATAACCAGGCAGTCAACTGCACAGTACTTACCACTGTGCCTCTAACATCACAAATGCCTCCACATTTTAGTTGCCTTCCCCTCCTATATGTAAGAAGGCAAGAGAAAACAGTTTTAAAGAAATGCACAGAAGCCATAGGATCCATGGAGACAAACAGGAAAATGGATGAGGACTGGTTTTGGAGACTCCCATTTCCTCTTTCACCTTTTTCTTTCCTTTCACTGACCCAGCAGCCTCAGAGACCCATGCTTTCACATGGGGTGCTGCTCTTCTTGTTGTATCAAAAGGACATTCTCATTCCTAAGGTTGGAGAATGGAAACCAGGGAAAAGAGAGAAAGGAAGGAACAGAAACTGCTGAAATGCATTACAGAGGCCAATGCACCTGCCATGCTCAGGCAATGAGACTGATCCTGACCAGAAACTCGGGCAAGCAGAAACAACCAAGAAGCAGCAAATAAAACATGGCAAAATAAATGCAGGATGCAGTTAGAATGAAGACCGACCAGAACATCATGCCAAAGGAGGCATGGAGGAAGTGAGGCAGAGGAAAATCCAGGGGTAACAAAATCAGAGAGGAACAGCAACAAACCCAGGGATGCTTGTTGAAAAAAATAAGATGGTTTCATGTTTTCAAATCTGTACTCCTTTCTTTTATGAGTACTCAGGTCATTCAGAATTGGCCTGAATGACCCTTTCTTAAAGTAGGACAGCAGTTACTGAGTTTGCCAAATTGTTTCATTGGCAAGAAGAAATTAAATGAAGGGCTGTCACACAAGATCTTAGTTCAGTGCTTTTTGGTGAACATAAGCAGAGAAACTGTGTTGTGTAACATGCCCTCTGATGGCATAAAAGATTTTCTGGGCAGGTGTCTGTGCTTTTATGAACTACCAAAGTAAAACTCATCAGCTAAGTAATTAGTGACAACAAACAAAAGAAGGCTTCTTAAATTTCATTGTTCACAGAATAAAATAAATAAAACATTACAAATGTGCATGCATTTATGGCTTTTCCTCCCCCAAGTATTTCTTGAAGAAGAAATGAACTTGAATAGAGAAAATTTGCTTTCTTGGAATCATCATCCTACCTGATATTATCAAGAAATATATCAGTTATTGGGAAAAAATGTATCAGTCATTGACAAATATATCAGTTATTGGGGGAAAAAAAGCAAAGGAATTTTTGGATGGCTTTTACAAGGCTGTCCACGAGCTACTGCAAGTATGACCTACTGTGTAGTCCAGTGGTTGGCCAAGACTTTTCTGTTAAGGACCAGATAGTAATATTTTCAGCTTGTTGGCACAGAAGATAAGACAAGGGCACAAATCATTATAACGCAAGATGGAAAGTGATAAATGCTATTAAAAAGGAGATGAGAAGTGGGGGTGTGAGGGTTCATTCAGAAGCAGAGACTCAAGAAGACTTCATGGAGGAGGTGGCATTAAGATTGCTGGATGTGGATTTTCCTATTCCAAGGAGAAGGAAGCCAAGCACAGGTTTGAGGAAAGGCTGGGCGCCATGGGAAAGAGGTGCATGACTGGCCTGGTTACGAGGTGCTTGGGCTGCAGGGGAGCAGAGGGGAGGGCTAAGCCAACAGGAAGAAGCTGTATCTCTGAAGAGCTGCCTCTGTTCTCTGAGCATGTGGGAGCTAGTGAAGAAACCTCAGAACCACACTGTCTTCTGCCCATGGAGTGACAGGGAGAAGTCCCTCCCAAGAAACAAAAGAACCAGAGATTGGATTTGGGTAAAAGCAGATCAAGGCTGCCCAATAAGTTAAACCAAACAGATGTGATTAACCACTAGTGAAAATAAGTATGTTTTCTTTAGTCAACACTTTCTTTTAAAATGTTGACTAAAACATTTAGGAACAGCCCAACTTTCAAATGGATCCATGTTTGATCCCATAGAGTCTGGAAAAAGCCAGCCAGAACAAGAAGAGACGAATGACAGAATGTGACTCTTTAGCAATAAAAAAGAACTCCTACATATAACAACAACAACAACAACAACAAAAACCCTTATCTTTTGCAGATAGCACATAATATTAGAAAATTCAAGCAAACCTTTATACATCAAGAATATTGAGGCATTATATATGATCGAGAAAAAGGGGAAGCCATAAAAATTATCAACCTCATTCAATCATTTTTGTCATTCATTATGCATTTATTGAGACCTCAGGTGCTGGGGTGTAGCAATGTGTTAAACAAAACCTCTGCACTGGAGAGCTGCAGGCTAGTGTGGGAAATAGAAAATAAGTCAGTCAGCCAATAAAGACACAGTAGCACGCAGTGATGAGCACTGCAGACAAAAGCAGAGAGCAGTGAGAGAATCCTTTTGATTGATGGGAGAATCCTCTTGATGGATATTTTGTATCAATGTGCTCAGGGAAGCCTCATTGGTGAGTGACACCTGAACAAAGCCCTGAATGAAGTGAAGCCCTGAATAGTGAAAGAACTTTCCAGAGCAGGGAAGAAAAGAATAAGGGGACAAGCCCTGAGTTGGGAGCACCTTGAGCAAAGAGGCTACTCTGGCTGGAGCTGGGAGAATGAAGCAGAACAAGGTAAGAAATGAGGACAGAGGGACAGAAAAATGCTAGAGCCTGCAGAGCCTGTGGCCCTGGGACAGAAGTTGGTTATTTCCTGAGAGGCTTTTGAGCAGAGGAATGTCATGACCAGGTCCCCACCGTTGAAAACACTGCTGCCTTTGAAAAACAGAAGCAGGCAGGCCAGTGAGGAGTCTTTTTCAGCAATCCAGGAGAGGGCTGAGAGTGGCTTCCAACCATTAAAGTGGTGGTGAGTAGGGCAGGAGGGGGATGGGGGGCATATTGTAACAGGTGCTCCAACAGAATGTGCTGCTGACCTGGATAAAGGATGTGAGACAGATGATCAGGGATGAATCCATAGTTTGAGGTTCAAACAAATGTGTAGAATGGGATTATTTACTGAGATGGAAAGCAATAGGAAGGCAGAAAATTTTAGGAGAGAAACTCAAGATGGTAAACGCCAATCAGAAATCCTTAAAACATACCATGGAGCTTAACAAATTGATAGCATGATTTAGCTAGAAGAAGTGGCAGACGATTTCTAGGGAGCACTAGAGAAGAGCCATCACTTCTCAGAGTATGATGCCACACTCCCCCACACCACTGCTAAACACATCGCCATATGTTCTTATTAACCCCATAATGTATCTCAGGGATGAAATAGTAAATTCACACAATGATGTACGGAGGTACATGAATGTCATATAAAGTAAGAAGCTGTACAACAATAAGGAAAGAAAGCATAATTTAACCAGTGTTATCAGAAAAGGCAGATAGAAATAGCAAACACATACCTACAGGTTTCTTTTTAACTTCCACAACTGTGGAAAATTCCATGAAGGTCAAAGAGTTTAACATTAAACAAAAATAATCTAAAAAACAGAAAATAATTCTTTTTTAATTATTTTTTATTTTACTTTAATTTCCGGGATACATGTGCAGAAGGTGCAGGTTTGTTACATAGGTATACATGTACCATTGTGGTTTGCTGCACCCATCAACCCATCATCTAGGTTTTAAGCCCCACTTCCATTAGGTATTTGTCCTAATGCTCTCCCTCCTCTTGCCCCCCACCCCACCAACAGGCCCCAGTGTATAATGTTCAAGGCCCTCTCTGTGTCTATATGTTCTCATTGTTCAACTCCCACTTATGAACAAAAACATGCAGTGTTTGGTTTTCTGTTCCTGTGTTAGTTTGCTGAGAATGATGGTTTCCGGCTTCATCCATGTCCCTGCAAAGGACATGAACTCATTCTTTTTTATGGCTGCATAGTATTCCATGGTGTATATGTGCCACATTTTCTTTATCCAGTCTCGTTGATGGGCATTTTGGTTGGTTGGAAGTCTTTGCTATTGTGAATAGCGCTGCATGCAAGAAACACACGTGTGCATGTGTCTTTATAGTACAATGATTTGTAATCCTTTGGGTGTATACCCAGTAATGGGATTGCTGGGTCAAATGGTAATTCTGGTTCTAGATCCTTGAGGAATCACCACACTGTCTTCCATAATGGTTGAACTAATTTACACTCCCACTGACAGTGTAAAAGCTTTCCTATTTCTCCACATCCTTTCCAGCATCTATTGTTTCCTAACTTTTTAATGATCACCATTCTAACTGGTGTGAGATGGTATCTCGGGGTTTTGATTTGCATTTCTCTAATGACTAGTGATGATGAGCTTTTTTTCATGTTTGTTGGCCACATAAATGTCTTCTTTTGAGAAGCATCTGTTGATATCCTTTGCCCACTTTTTGATGGGGTTGTTTGTTTTTTTCTTGTAAATTTGTTTAAGTTCCTTATAGATTCTGGATAATAGACCTTTGTCAGATGGAGAGACTGCAAAAATTTTCTCCCATTCTGTAGGTTGCCTCTTCACTCTGATGATAATTTTTGCTGTGCAGAAGCTCTTTGGTTTAATTAGATTCCATTTGTCAATTTTGGCTTTTGTTACAATTGCTTTTGGTGTTTTAGTCATTAAGGTTCTGCCCATGCCTATGTCCTGAATGGTATTGCCTCGGTTTTCTTCTAGAGTTTTTATGGTTTTAGGTTTTACACTTAAGCCTTTAATCCATCTTGAGTTAATTTTTATATAAGGTGTAAGAAAGGGGTCCAGTTTCAGTTTTCTACATATGGCTAGCCAGTTTTCCCAGCACCGTTTATTAAATAGGGAATCATTTCCCCATTACTTGTTTTTGTCAGGGTTGTCGAAGATCAGATGGTTGTAGATGTGTGGTGTTATTTCTGAGGCCTCTGTTCTGTTCCATTGGTTTATATACCTATTTTGGTATCAGTACCATGCTGTTTTGGTCACTGTAGCCTTGTAGTATAGTTTGAAGTCAGGTAGCATAATGCCTCCAGCTTTGTTCTTTTTGCTTAGGATTGTCTTGTCTTTTTTTGTTTCCATATGAAATTTAAAGTAGTCTTTTTCAGTTCTCTGAAGAAAGTCAATGGTAGCTTGATGGGGATAGCATTGAATCTATAAATTACTTTGGGCAGTATAGACATTTTCATGATATTGATTCTTCCTATCCATGAGCATGGAATGTTTTTCCATTTATTTGTGTCCTCTCTTATTTCCTTGAGCAGTGGTCTGTAGTTATCTTGAAGAGGTCCTTCGTGTCCTTTGTAAGTTGTATTCCTAGATATTTTATTTTCTTTGTAGCAATTGTGAATGGGAGTTCACTCATGATTTGGCTCTCTGTCTATTATTGGTGTATAGGAATATTTGTGATTTTTGGACATTGATTTTGTATCCTGAGACTTTGCTGAAGTTGCTTATTAGGAGTTTTTGGGTTGAGGGGATGGGGATTTCAAAATATACAATCATGTCATCTGCAAACAGAGACAATTTGAGTTCCTCTTTTCCTATTTGAATACCCTTTATTTCTTTCTCTTGCCTGATTGCCCTGGCCAGAACTTCCAATTCTATGTTGAATGGGAGTGGCGAGAGAGGGCATCCTTGTCTTGTGCCGGTTTTCAAAGGGAATGCTTCTAGATTTTGACCCTTTCAGTATGATATTGGCTATGGGTTTGTCATAAATAGCTCTTATTATTTTGAAATATGTTCCATCAATACCTCGTTTATTGAGGGTTTTTGGCATGAAGGGGTGTTGAATTTTATTGAAGGCCTTTTCTGCATCTATTTAGATAATCATGTGGTTTTTGTCATTGGTTCTGTTTATATGATGGATTATGTTTATTGACTTGTGTATGTTGAACCAGCCTTGCATCCCAGGGATGAAGCCAACTTGATTGTGGTGGATAAGCTTTTTGGTGTGCTGCTGGATTCAGTTTGCAAGTATTTTATTGAGGATTTTTGCATCAGTGTTCATCAGGGATATTGACCTGAAATTTTCTTTTTTTGTTGTGTCTCTGCCAGGTTTTGGTATCAGAGTGATGCTGGCCTCATAAAATGAGTTATGGAAGAGTCCTTCTTTTTCTATTGTTTGGAATAATTTCAGAAGGAATGGTACCAGCTCCTCTTTGTACCTCTGATAGAGTTTGGCTGTGAATCCGACTGGTCCTGGGCTTTTTTTTGTTGGTAGGCTATTAATTACTGCCTCAATTTCAGAACTTGTTTTTGGTCTGCTTAGGGGTTTGACTTCTTCCAGGTTTAGTCTTGGGAGGGTGTATGTGAACAGGAATTTATCCATTTCTTCTAGATTTTCTAGTTTATTTGCATAGAGGTGTTTATAGTGTTCTCTGATGGTATTTTGTATTTCTGTGGGATCAGTGGTGATATTCCCTTTATTTTTTTTATTGTGTCTATTTGATTCTTCTCTCTTTTCTTCTTTGTTAGTCTGGCTAGTGGCCTATTTTGTTAATCTTTTCAAAAAACCAGTTTCTGGATTCACTGACTTTTTTGAAGGGTTTTTGGTGTCCCTATCTCCTTCAGTTCTGCTCTGATATTAGTTATTTCTTGTCTTCTGCTAGCTTTTGAATTTGTTTGCTCTTGCTTCTCCAGTTATTTTAATTGTGATGTTAGGGTACCAATTTTAAATATTTCTCACTTTCTGATGTGGGCATTTAGTGCTACAAATTTCCCTCTTAATGCTGCTTTACTGTGTCCCAGAGATTCTGGTACCTTGTGTCTTTATTCTCATTGGTTTCAAAGAACTTATTTATTTCTGCCTTAATTTATTTACCCAGTAGTCATCCGGGAGCAAGTTGTTCAGTTTTTTACACAGCAGTCATTTGGGAGCAAGTTGTTCAGTTTCCATGTAGTTCTGTGGTTTTGAGTGAGTTTCTTAATCCTGAGTTATAATTTGATTGCAGTGTGGTCTGAGAAATGGATTGCTATGATTTCCATTCTTTTGCATTTGCTGAGGAGTGTTTTACTTCCAATTTGGTGGTCAATTTTAGAATAAGTGCTATGTGGTACTGAGAAGAATGTACAATTCTGTTGATTTGGGGTGGAGAGTTCCATATCTATTAGGTCTGCTTTGCCCAGAGCTGAGTTCAAGTCCTGACTATCCTTGTTAATTTTCTGTCTTGTTGATCTGTCTAATATACAGTATTAAAGTTTCCCACTATTATTGTATGGGAGTCTAAGTCTCTTTGTAGGTCTCTAAGAACTTGCTTTATGAATCTGGGTGCTCCTGTATTGGAGATATATATATATATATATATATTTAGGATCGTTAGCTCTTCTTGCTGCATTGATCCTTTTACCATTATGTAATGCTCTTCTTTGTCTTTTTTGATCTTTGTTGGTTTAAAGTCTGTTTTATCAGAGACTAGGATTGCAACCCCTGCTTTTTTTGTTTGTTTGTTTTCCATTTGCTTTGTAAATATTCCTCCATCCCTTTATTTTGAGCCTGTGTGTGTCTTTGCACATCAGATGGGTCTCCTGAATACAGCACACTGATGGGTCTTGGCTCTTTATCCAATTTTCCAGTCTGTGTCTTTTAATTGGGGCATTTAGCCCATTTATATTTAAGTCTAATGTTGTTATGTGTGAATTTGATCCTGTCATCATGATGCTAGTTGTTTATTTTGCACATTAGTTGATGCAGTTTCTTTACAGTATCATTGGTCTTTTTATTTTGGTATGTTTTTGCAGTGGCCTGTACTGGTTTTTCCTTTCCATATTTAGTGCTTCCTTCAGGAGCTCTTGTAAGGCAGGGCTGGTGGTGACAAAATATCTCAGCATTTGCTTGTCTATAAAGGATTTTATTTCTCCTTCGCTTATGAAGCTTAGTTTGGCTGGATATGAAATTCTGGGTTGGAAAATTCTTTTCTTTAAGAATGTTAAATCTCGGTCCCCACTCTTCTGGCTTGTAGAGTTTTTGCAGGGAGATCTACTGTTAGTCTGATGGGCTTCCCTTTGTAGGTAACCTGATCTTTCTCTCTGGCTGCCCTTAATATTTTTTCTTTCATTTCAACCTTGGTGAATCTGATGATTATGTGTCTTGTGGTTGCTCTTCTTGAGGAGTATCTTAGTTGTGTTCTCTGTGTTTCCTGAATTTGAATGCTGGCCTGTCTTGCTAGGTTGGGGAAGTTCTCCTGAATAATACCATGAAGGGTGTTTTCCACCTTGATTACATTCTCCCTGTCACTTTCAGGCACACCAATCAATCATAGGTTTGGTCTTTTCACATAGTCCCATATTTCTTGGAAGCTTTGTTCACTCCTTTTCATTCTTTTTTCTCTAATCTTGTCTTTAGGCTTTATTTCATTAAGTTGATCTCCAATCTCTGATATCCTTTCTTCCGCTTGATTAATTCGGCTATTGACACTTGTGTATGCTTCATGAAGTTCTCATGCTGTGATTTTCAGCTCCATCAGGTCATTTATGTTCTTCTTTAAACTGGTTATTCTAGTTGGCAGCTCCTATAACCTTTTATCAAGGCTCTTAGCTTCCTTGCATTGGGTTAGAACATGCTCCTTTAGCTCAGAGGAGTTTGTTATTACCTACCTTCTGAAGCCTACTTCTGTCAATTTGTCAAACTCATCCTCCATCCAGTTTTGTGCCCTTGCTGGAGAGGAGTTGTTATCATTTGGAGGAGAAGAGGCATTCTGGTTTTTGGAATATTCAGCCCTTCTGCACTGGTTTTTTTTCGTCTTTGTGGATTTATCTACCTTTGATCTTTGATGCTGATAGCCTTTGGATGGGGTTTTTCTGTGGGCATCCTTTTTGTTGATGTTGACGTTATTGTTTTCTGTTTGTTAGTTTTCCTTCTAACAGTCAGGTCCCTCTGCTGCAGGTCTGTTGGAGTTTGCTGGAGGTCCACTCCAGACCCTGTTTGCCTGGGCATTACCAGCGGAGGCTGCAGAACAGCAAAGATTGGTGCCTGCTCCTTCCTCTGGAAGCTTTGTCCCAGAGGGGCAGCCACCTGATGTCAGCCAGAGCTCCCCTGTATGAGGTGTCTGTCGACCCCTGCTGGGAGGTGTCTCCCAGTCAGGAGCCACGGGGGTCAGGGACTCACTTGAGGAGGCAGTCTGTCCCTTTGCAGAGCTGAGCACTGTGCTGGGAGATCTGCTGCTCTCTTCAGCGCTGGCAGGCAGGAAGGTTTAAGTCTGCTGAAGCTATGCCTGCAGCTGCCCCTTCTCGCGGGTGCTCTGTCCCAGGGAGTTGGGAGTTTTATCTATAAGCCCTTGACAGGGGCTGCTGCCTTTCTTTCAGAGATGCCTTGCCTAGTGAGGAGGAATCTAGAAAGGCAGCCTGTCCTCAGGCACTTTGCCACACTGCCATGAGTTCTGCACAGTCAGAGTTAACACTGTAAGGGGAAAACCACCTGCTCAACCCTCAGTAATGGCAGGTACCCCTCCCTGCACCAAGCTCGAGTATCCCAGGTCAACTTTAGACTCCTGTGCTGGCAGCAAGAATTTCAAGCCAGTGGATCTTAGCTTGCTGGTCTCCATAGGAGTGGGATCTGCTGAGCTAGACCACTTGGCTTCCTAGCTTCAGCCCCCTTTCCAGGGGAGTGAACAGTTCTCTCTTGCTGGCATTCCAGGAGCCACTGGGCGGGGGGGAGCCTCCTGCAGCTAGCTCAGTGTCTGCCCAAACAGCCACCTAGTTTTGTGCTTGAAACCGAGGGCCCTGGTTGTGTAGGCACCCAAGGGAATCTCCTGGTCTGTGGGTTGCAAAAACCAAGGGAAAAGTGTAGTATCTGGGCCAGAATGCACAGTCCCTCACAGCGTCCTTTGGCTAGGGGAGGGAGTTCACTGACCCCTTGCACTTCCTGGGTGAGGTGATGCCCTATCCTGCTTCTGCTTGCCTTCCATGGGCTGCACCCACTGTCTAACCAGTCCCAATGAGATGACCCGGGTACCTCAGTTGGAAATGCAGATATCACCCGCCTTCTGCATTGGACTTGCTGGGAGCTGTTCCTATTTGGCCATCTTCAACAGAAAGTAATTCTTTGCTGTAATCATCTCTCTTACTAGGTTAGAAGTGATATAATCAGTGACAAAAGTAATGGCCGTTAAGTTAGGAGACAGGTATACCTGAATTCATCGTTTTAAATGTCTGTGCAAAAAAAAAAAAGTAAGAAAATGAAAATTTAAAAAGATACAACAGGTCAAAACTCCCATGCTGATCATTAGTGGGATCACGCCTATGAATAATCACTGCACTCCAGCCTGGGAAACATAGTAAGACCTCCATCTCTTTAACAAAAACAAAAGTGAAAAATGAAAAAAGATGAAAAAAGCAGAAAAAAACAGATTGCTGTTTTTGGGAAGATGGAGTAGATGCATTTTTCTTTATTCCACTCTATACACCTAAAGAGCCTGGATACTATATGTAAAGCAAATATAACTCTGAAAGATAGCAGAAGAAATGCTGGCTGGAGACCCCCAGACCATGGCATTCAGTTCTCTGGGTCTTCTTTTTGTCTCTCATGTCTCAGACTTGGAGCTGAAGAAGCCGGCAGCCCAGAAATGCCAATGGGCACAGGCAACAAAAGCCCCAACAATAGCCGGCTTTATCTAGACAAGAGAATAGGGAAGAGTCAACCTCACAAGGCACAGAAGTTTTACACAATAACTGCTCCTCTCCAGCCAAACACCACAGAAGAAACGGTGGCCCCAACTGCAGCAAAGTCTGAATGGGCTGTTTAGATTCCATCCTCACCAGAGTGTAAGGAACACCCTGGCTTTTCTATTGGGGTGGTGTCAGAGAAGGAAAAGGGCAGAAGAGGGATTTTCTTCTCTGCTGGGTGATAATGAGCACTCCCCTCCCTGTAGAGCCAGGAAGGACGACGTAAAGAACGCAGAGAACATGGACGTCACCATAGTCCAGCCACAAGGCAACCCACTTTTGACCCCTGACTGACAAAAAGACAGAAACCACAGATTATCAGTTTGAGAATGAAACTGTATCACTACAGACCCTGTAGAAATCACTACAGACCCTGTAGAAATCAAAAAGTTCACAAGGGAATATTTGAGCAACCATATACACACATGACATCTAAGCTGAAATGGACCAGTTCGTCAAAAAACACCAACTGCAACAACCAATTCCTCAAAAAACACCAACTGCAGTTTGTGTTGGTGAAGAAAATATGAATAGCCCTCAACCAATATGAAGAAAATAACTGAATAGCCCTACAACTAGCAAAAACAGTTAAAATTTGAAGTTGTAATTTTAAAACTCCTCCCCCAAAAAATCTCCAGGTCCATATAGTTTCTCTAGTGAATTCTACAAAATAAAAGCAATTCTATACAACTTCTTCCAAAAAACAGAAGAGGAGGGAACACTTCTCAATTCATTTTATGAAGCTAATATTGCCCTGACAGATACCAAACCAGACAAGAGCAGTACCAAAAAGAAAACAACAGACCAATACCCTTTAGCAAGGAGTATTGATGCAAAAATGTCAGCAAATAATTCAGCAATATATAAAAAGAATTGTGCACCAGGATCAAGTGAAGTTTATTCCAGGGATGCAAGGCTGGTTCAATATTCAAAAATTCACCAGTGTAATCCATCGTATCGATAGGCTAAAGAAAAAAAAAACCACACGATTATATCAATTGATGCAGAAAAAGTATGTGACGAAATTCAACATCTATTCATGATTAAAATTCTCAGCAAATTAGGAATAGAAATGAACTTCCTCAGCTTGTCAAAGATCATCTTCAGAAAGCCTGACTGGTTCTAAATGTCAATTTTAACCACACAGAAAGGTAGCCAGCTCATCTTTAAAACTCCAAGGAGGTGCTGGAGACAGCATGTTGAAGAAATGCTTGCACAGCCTGTAAATCATTAGGTGGAAACCACGTACATTATGGGAAAATCATTACAAGGATTCTTCCTTCCTAGAAATTGATAAATAACTTATGTTACTGCTTATCTTTTCATTCATTAACTCACAAGTATTTCTTTATTATTATTATTATTATTATTATATTTTAAGTTCTAGGGTACTTGTGCATAACGTGCAGGTTTGTTACATAGCTATACATGTGCCATGTTGGTTTGCTGCACCCACCAACTCATCGTTTACATTAGGTATTTCTGCTAATGCTATCCCTCCCCCAGCCCCCCACCCCCCGACAGGCCCTGGTGTGTGATGTTCCCCACCCTGTGTCCAAGTATTCTCATTGTTCAATTCCCATCTATGAGTGAGAACATGCAGTGTTTGGTTTTCTGTCCTAACTTACAGGTATTTCTAAGCACTCACCATCATGAAATGTGTCAGGCACTAAGGACACAGCAATATCCCAGACAGACATGACTTCTGTCCTCATGGAGTTTACAGTTTACAGGGAAGAAGGATGTCGAGCAGGTGATTACACACAGCATGCTTGTTACGGAGCAGGAAGTGTAAGTTTCAACACAATTACATGGCAGGGTCTCTGATCTTGTCTTCCCTGTGGGGGAGGGGCTTTTTAAGGAAATCATTTTTCACCTGAGAAGTGAACAGGAGTTGGAATTCTGAAAACCAAGAAGGGTCTGAGGGTCTTCTCAAGCAGAACGGCACGTGCAAAACTCACTAGAGTGGGGACAAAGGTGGCCCACAAGAGACACTGCATGAAATCCAAAAAGAGGGAAAGGGTGATGTGTTCTGGGACCTGTCATCCACAATTTGGATTTACCATAAGGCCATGGGAAGTAACACCCAATATGGAAAGGAGGTGAGGAAAGAGCTATGCTTTTCATTTGAGACGTTTACAGAGCGTTTGGGCAGGACTGTGCCTGAGCTCTGTGTGGCTCTCTCTCCTTCATGACCCTGCTGAGGCCCCTGACAAACTGCCCACCATCCTGAGTTCACAAATCCATTTGAGAGTCTGTCGCACCCACTAGAGCACAGGGTC